>NC_000023.11:85189814-85492845 GCF_000001405.40 Homo sapiens
ATAAGTAAATGCACAGAAAAGAAACTTCTTGTCTCTTCTTTAGTCATTTCTTTGCTAGTTAGTTCTAATTTATTCCAATACCAATCTGTTACTAAATTGAAAAATGATTGCCAAGCTCCTTTTTAGAAATATAAAAGCTTAAAAGTTTGAGCATTAATTCATGCTTAAACATATTCTTTTATAATGTACTTTCTCAGTCTGTACAGTTATTGCAGTTTGATATTTAATGAAATTATTTCAAAGTGTATTTATTGAATTTATGGTTATAACACAGCTACATTTGACCCATACTGCCTACATTTGTTATAATAAGCTAAGGACAAAATAATGTAGGCTATAGGATACACACAATTTGAAAAACTAGAAATAAAAATCAGTATATCAAAAACGTTTTTCCTCTAATAAAATTAGAAAGTTTTATTCTAATAAATAATGTCCTTATCCAATAGGATCTATCCTGTTTGAATAAGATAAAGTCAATCATCTGACATAAAAATAAAATAGCAATAGTAATAGTGCTAGAATCTCATGATTATCTACAGATGGTTAATCCACACACTTTGGCATCTAACTCAGCTAGATAAAGGCTATGGTCCTATTTTTCAAGGAACTCAATCTCACTTTCTTTTTTCCCACTAATAGGCAAAATAACTGTGTTAAGATTAATCACTGGCAAATGTGCTATCAACAAACTATCAACATCGAAGGCAGAATATCTTAGATAATACCCACTAAAAGATATACTAGATGTTAAAACAACTATTCTTCTACTTAATAAAATAGGACTTATTCAGCTAGCAGTTTTACTTGTGTTGTCACCAGACCTGTCAATCATTCAAAAGATAAGGAAATACACAGTTCTATAAAATAACGAGGCCAATTCTTATAAGGTAAACAAAAAATTAGCCTCATTATGTTATTATCACAGTCCTATTGTGACTATGGTAAAGAGTTGATGCAAATAGTGTTATAACAAAAAAGGATGAGTTCATGTCCTTTGCAGGGACATGGATGAAACTGGAAACCATCATTCTCAGCAAACTACAGCAAGGACAGAAAACCAAACACCGCATGCTCTCACTCATAGGTGGGAATTGAACAATGAGAACACTTGGACACAGGATGGGGAACATCAGACACCGTGGGGCCTGTCGTGGTGTAGGGGGAGGGGGGAGGGATAGCATTAGGAGATATACCTAATGTAAATGATGAGTTAACGGGTGCAGCACACCAACATGGCACATGTATACATATGTAACAAACCTGCATGTTGTGCACAAGTACCCTAGAACTTAAAGTATAATAATAATAATAATAAAAAATGATACCCATTATTTATGCAATTGTGTAATATCATGCATTCTAGAAGGCAATACTTCTACACACATAATATTTAAATCATTCTGACATTATTTTCTCAAAGTTTTATTTCATTTTAAATTGACACATAATAATTGTGCATATTTATTGGATACATTTTGATATTTTGATACATGTATACACTGTATATGATCAAATCAGGGTACTTAGCTTATCCATCACATCAAACTATTATCATTTCTTTTTTTTCCTTGTTCCCACACTACACAGATGTAACAATGATCATTTCTTTGTGATGAGAACATTCAAAATCCTCTTTTCTAGCTACAGTTGACCCTTGAACAACGTGGGGGTTAGGAGCACTGACACCATGTGCAATAGAAAATCCGTGTATAACTTTTGATTCCTCAAAAACTTAACTACTAATAGCTTACTGTTGACTAGAAGCCTTACTGATAACATAAACAGTTGATTAACACATATTCCATGTTATATGTATTATATACTGTATTCTTACAGTAAACTAAGCTAGAGAAAAAATGTTATTAAGAACATCATAAGGAAGATAAAATGTATTTACTATTCATTAAGTGGAAATGGATCATCATAAAGGTCTTCATCTTTGTTGTCTTCATGTTGAGTAGGCTGAGGAGGAGGAAGAAAAAAGGTTGGTCTTGCTGTCTCAGAGATGGCAGAGGTGGAAGAAAATCTGTGTAAAAGTGGACATGCACAGTTCAAACCTGCATTGTTCAAGGTTCAACTGTATATTTACTATAAATACTTAACAGTGTAATCCACTGAAACCTAATCTGTCTCAGTAAAAGAGACCATTACTCACCCAAGTTATACAAGACAGAAACATAGACTTGATCCTTGAGTATTCTCTGTTCCTCACTTGGTGTATCAATTATCACATCCCATCTGTTAGCTCTTCATATTTCTTAAATCCATCAATTGTCTCCATCTCTATGGCTACTGTCATAGTTCAACCACCCTTCATCTTTTACCTTGTCTGTTACCATAGCCTTTTAGGTGGACTATAAGTTTCTATTTTTGCCCTGTCTCAACTTTCACCATTCATTCTCCATGGTGGATCCAGCATGACCTTTCCAAAACATAAATATAATCTTGTTACTTCCATAAGTAAAAGCTTTTTAACTGTGCTCAGTAACCTACAGGATGAAAACTCTATTTTTTGG
Organism: Homo sapiens; assembly: GCF_000001405.40. Lineage (NCBI taxonomy): Eukaryota > Metazoa > Chordata > Mammalia > Primates > Hominidae > Homo > Homo sapiens. Next base: position 85,192,334 of record NC_000023.11, read on the forward strand.
CATGTCTCATAAAGCCTTTCCTGGTTGCCCCCTGCCTTCTTTGCCAACCTCATTTTCCATGCCTTCTCTTCCCCTCCATTGTCCTGTATTCTAACCATTTCAAGGTACTTGGAGTTCCACAAACACTACCTACATTTTCACACTTTCCACATTTTACACATGTTCTTTTTTCTGGCTTTATGTCCTCACTTTTCTTTGTCCCCTACTCCCACATACCTGAAAAACTCATACTTGTTCTTCCAAGCTTACATTAAAAAAACACATTCTTTGTAGAATACTTCACTGATGAAGTCAAGCAGTCATTTGTTTTGTCCACCTGCTTCCACAGCACCTCATATATACTCCCCCCATAGTGCATACTACATTGAATTATAAAAATATGTCAATCCATATTCCGCATTAGTTTTTGAGCTATTTAAAGGCAGAAACTGTGTCATATTCTTTTTTTATCCCTAGTATTTAGCAGACTGCCTAGTACCTAATAAGGTATCAAAAATCATACATTATTTGACTACTTAGAGATGACATTTGGTAAATGAATTACAGATAATATACTAGAAATAAAACATTTATATGTATTTTAAAAATCACATACAGAAGTTTTAATCTTAAGTGTTTAACTTCACTCTACTCTACTCTTGATTCTTGCACTCTAAAAGTGGAAAAATCAAAGCTAGAAATACTACAACAGTTTTAGTTAAATGAAAGTTGTGGTTGTGTCTATAATGGGAGTTAAGTACTTTTACGATATGCAAATGTCAGGGAATAATGGTACTATATATTCCATATCATTCATTCAACAGATATTGATTACCTAATTGATTCCTGTTACTGTACAAATTGCTAGAGATAAAACATATATGATTATATCACAGTACTCAAACTCACAGTCTAATGGGGAGGAAAAATGATGATGGTACAATGTGTTTAATACTGTAAGAGGGTAACTCACAAGATTCTATGTGAATTCATACATGCCTAACCCAGGAAATGTTAAGGAAGGCTTTTCAAATATAAGTAGCAGCTACCCAGGCGAAGAAGAAGGATAGATAATCCAGGCAATGGCAAGAGTCTGAAAAGCCATTAAAGTGAGTGCAAGTGTGTCTTATTTGAAGAGCTGCCCACTATATACATTCATGTTTCAACATATCTAGAGCATAGGGGGCACAGTCCAGTCAAATACTTTTTTTAGCTTATATTTTAGGTTCAGAGGTACCTGTGAAGGTTTGTTACATAGGTGAACTTGTGTCATGATGGATTGTTGTACAGATTATTTCATCACTCAGGTACTAAGCCCAGCATTCAATAGTTACCTTTTCTGCTCCTCTCTGTCCTCCCAGCCTCCACCCTTAACTAGACTTCAGTATCTGTTGTTCCCTTCTTTGTGTTCATAGGTTATCATCATTTAGCTCCCACTTATAAGTGAGAACATCTGGTATTTGGCTTTCTGTTCCTGCATTAGTTTGCTAAGAATAATGGCCTTCAGCTCCATCCATGTTCCCACAAAAGACAAATCTCAATCTTTTTATGACTGCATAGTATTCCATGGTGTATATATGCCACACTTTCTTTATACAATTTGTCGTTGGTGGGCATTTAGGTTGACTCTATGTCTTTGCTATTGTGAACAGTGCTGCAATAAACGTTTGTGTGCATGGGTCTTTATGGTAGAATGATTTATATTCCTCTGGGTATATACCCAGAAATGGGACTGGTAGGTCAAATGGTAGTTCTGCTTTTAGCTCTTTGAGGAATAAACATAGTACTTTCCACAATGGTTGAACTAATTTACACTTCTACCAACAGTATATAAGTGTTGCTTTTCTCTACAACCTTGCCAGCATCTGTTATTTCAAAGACTTTTCTAAGCCATGGTAAGAAATTTTATTCTGAAGACAGTGGCAGGTGGTAGGCAGTTGGAGAGGAGAATTGAAGGATTTTAAAAAGAAGAGTGCTGTGATCAGATCTGCATTTTAGAAATATCACTGGTTACTTTGTACAAAATGTATGGGAGTGGAGGAAACAGTTGTCAAGATTGGAGACACAGACACCAGTTACGGTCAAAGTAAGATGTGATCGTGGCCTAGTAGTAATAACTTAGTAGTAACAGAGGTGAAAAAAATATATTTAAAATATAGAATTGACAGGTATGAGAGACTGTGTAAAGGGGTGCCCAGAATACAGTCTTAGTTCTCTGATTTGGATTACTGGGTGTTTGGTAATACCACTCACTATGTCTGGGCATAATAAAAGGACAGTATTCACAATAGCAAAGACTTGGAACCAACCCAAATGTCCATCAGTGATAGACTGGATAAAGAAGATGTGGCACATATACACCATGGAATACCATACAGCCATAAAAAAGGATGAGTTCATGTCCTTTGCAGGGACATGGATGAAGCTGGAAACCATCATTCTCAGCAAACTATCACAAGAACAGAAAACCAAGCACTTCATATTCTCACTCATAAGTGGGAGTTGAACAATGAGAACACATGGACACAGGAAGGGGAACATCACACACTGGGGTCTATCGGGGGGTGGGAGGGTAGGGGAGGGATAGCATTAGGAGAAATACCTAATGTAGTTGATGAGTTGCTGGGTGCAGCAAACCCCCATGGCATGTGTATACCTATGTAACAAAACTGCACATTCTGCACATGTACCCCAGGACTTAAAGTGTATATATATATATATATACATAAAAAGACAACAGTTTTGACCCTGTTTGGAGAACCTGTGTGTCATAAGGATGGAGAAATACAGTATGTAGGTGGAGACATACAGTAGGTCTGCAGCTTAGGAAAAAGGCCTTAGCTATAAATACTGACCTAGAAGATATCATCATAGAAATGGTAGTTAAAACTATGGGAGTAAATAACTCTCAAATCTCTGCTTTTGGCCAAGACTTTTTTTCTGGGCTCTAGACTAAGAATGAGCACATATTTTCAGTGGAGTGGTGGAGGACAGAAAGCAGACAGTGGTAGACTGGGAAGAGAGTGAGTGGTAAAAAACTGGAAGTAGTGTAGTCCACATTTTTAGAAGATTGAGTGTTAAGAGTCTCCAAAATAGTGTTATTCATGGAGAAAATTTATGATCAAACAGTTGATGAGGGGAGTTGGGACTCAAAAAGAAGGACACATTTTGGATTAGAACTGGAAACAAACAATGAAGAATTAATCTGGATAAAAATAGGCTGGGCGCAGTGGCTCACGCCTGTAATCACAGCACTTTGGGAGGCTGAGGTGGGTGGATCACCTGAGGTCAGGAGTTCAAGACCAGCCTGGCCAACGTGGTGAAACCTTGTCTCTACTGAAAATACAAAAATTAGCTGGGCGGGTGGCAGGGGCCTGTAATCCCAGCTACTTGGGAGGCTGAGGCAGGAGAATTGCTTGAACCCAGGAGGTGGAGGTTGCAGTGAGCCAAAATTGCCTGGGCGACAAGAGCAAGACTCCGTCTTAAATAATAATAATAATAATAATAATATTAGTAATAATAGTTTTGTCTGTGGGGGTTCAAAACGTTGAGAGCACGTTCAGAACTGCATTTGACAAAAGATCACTATGAGAACATGTGACAATTGAATTGGAGGTTGAATTAATTCATAAGTGTGTGCATTCTTCAAGGCTGGGGGGAAATCCCAAGGTTTCAGCTCTTAATGGAAGAAACAGAGCACACCAAAACACATTCCTACAAACCCATACCAGCCATGGAGTTGAATGTAACCTCAGGTTATACTGAGCCTGTGGTTGAAATTGAGCCGGATACAAGATCAATATACAAAAATAAATTTTATTTCTATACACTAACAATGAAGAATCCTGAAATGAAATTTAAAAATAGATTCATTTACAATGGTATCAAAATGAATTAACTACTTAGAAATAAATTTAACAAAAAAGCACAAAGCTACAAAGTAGAAAACATTGAAATAAATTAAGGAAAAAATAAAGTAAAATAAAATTGTTGAAATAAAGAAGACCTTAATAAATGAAAAGACATCCCATGTTTATGGATTAAAAGACTTAGTATTGTTAAGATGACAATACTACCCAAATTGACATACAGATACAATATGCAAGCCCTATGAAAATCCCCACTGCATTTTTTTGCAGTACACTGTGATGCTAAAATTCATATGCAAATGCCAGAGTGCCAGAACAGCCAAAACAATCTTGAAAAAGAGGAACAAAAATGGAGGATGTATACATCACTACAAAGGATGTAATTAAGACAGCGAAGTACTTCAAAGCATGAGGTAGGCTGATTTCAAAAAAAGACAGTGAGGTGCTGATATAAGAATAGACATATTGATCAATGGAGTAGAACTGAGAGTTCAAAAATAAACCCTCACATTTATTGTCAAGTGATTTTTTTACAAGGGTGCCAATAAAATCCAATGGGAACAAGATTTGTCTTCTCAAAAAAATCATCCTGGGACAACTGGATATCCATATACAAAATAATGAAACTGGACATCTACTTCACACAACATATAAAATTAACTAAAAACAGATCAAAAACCTAAATGTAAGGAGCTAAAACTATACAACTCTTAGAAGAAAACAAGTGCAAATCTTTGTGACCTTGGGATAAGCAATGGTTTCTTAGATATGACACAAAAGGCATAACTGATAAAAGGAAAAATAAGTAGACTGGAAATGATCAAACTTTAAAATTTTGTGTTCAAAGGACATCACCAAGCAAGTAAAAAGAGAGTAAGAGAGTGAGAGAAAATGTTGGTAAGTCATATGTCTGCTAAAGGACTTGTATCGAGAATATATTGAAGAGCTCCTACAACTCAAAAGTAAAAGGACAAATAACCCAATTAAATATTTGGCAAAGTATACGAATAGACATTTCTCTCATTTTAATTTTTTTAATTTTAATTTTTAATTTTTCTGGGTACATAGTAGGTGTATATATGTATGGAGTATATGAGCTATTTTGATACATGCATGCAATGCATAATAATCACATCAATGTAAATGGGGTATACATCACTTCAAGAATTTACCTTTCTTTGTGTTACAAAAAAATCCTTTTAGTTATTAATACCCTTTTAGTTATTTTTAAAAGTACAATAAATGATTGTTGGCTGTAGTCACTCTGTTATGCTACCAAATACTAGATCTTTATTTATTTATTTATTTATTTATTTTACTTTATTATTATTGTACTTTAAGTTTTAGGGTACATGTGCACAATGTGCAGGTTAGTTACATATGTATACATGTGCCATGCTGGTGTACTGCACCCATTAACTAGTCATTTAGCATTAGGTACATCTCCTAATGCTATCCCTCCCCCCTCCCCACACCCCACAACAGTCCCCAGAGTGTGATGTTCCCCTTCCTGTGTCCATGTGTTCTCATTGTTCAATTCCCACCTATGAGTGAGAACATGCGGTGTTTGGTTTTTTGTCCTTGCGATAGTTTACTGAGAATGATGATTTCCAATTTCATCCATGTCCCTACAAAGGATATGAGCTCATCATTTTTTATGGCTGCATAGTATTCCATGGTGTATATGTGCCACATTTTCTTAATCCAGTCTATCATTGTTGGACACCAAATACTAGATCTTATTCATTCTATCTAATTATATTTTTGAACCCAATAAAAATCCCCACCCCTTGCCCCTGCCACTACTCTTCTCAGCCTCTGGTAGCCATCATTCTACTTTATATTACCATGAGTTCAAGTGTTTTAATTTTTAGCTCCCACAAATAAGTGAGAACATGTAAAATCTGGCTTTATGTGCCTGGCTTATTTTACTTAACATAATGTCCTCCGGTTTCGTCTGTGTTTTTGTGCATGACTGAATCTCATTCTTTTTAATGGCTAAATAGTATTCCATTGTGCATATGTACTATATTTTCTTTCTCTATTCTGTTGATGGACATTTAGGTTGCTTCCAAATCTTGGTTATTGTGAATATTGCTGCAATAGACTTGAGAATGCAGACGACTCTTGGATATCTTGATTTCCTTACTTTTGGGTATATAGCTAGCAGGGAGATGGCTGGATCCTATAGTACTTCTATTTTTAGTTTCTTGAGGAATCTCCAAACTGTTCTCCATAGTGGTTGTACTAATTTACATTCCCACTAACAGTGTAGAGGGTTCCCTTTTCTCCATATCTTCGTCAGCATTTGCCTGTCTTTTGAACTAAAAAGCCATTTTAACTTGGGTGAGATGCTATAACATTGTAGTTATGATATACATTTCTCTGATGGTCAATGATGTTGAGTACCTTTAAATTTTTTTATTTTAATTTTTGTGGGTACATAATAGGTATATATATTTATGGGGCATCAAATGTTTTGATACAGGCATGGAATATGTAATAATCACATCATGTAAAAATGGGGTATCCATCCCCTCAAGCATGTATCCTTTGTATTACAAACAATTCAATAATACTCTTTTAGTTATTTTAAAAAGTACAATTAAATTATTACTGACTATAATCACCCTGTTGTCCTATCAAATACTAGATCTTATTCATTCTTTTTTTTTTGAGATGGAGTCTTGCTCTGTCGCCAGGCTGGAGCGCAGTGACACAATCTCGGTTCACTGCAACCTCCGCCTCCCTGGTTCAAGTGATTCCTCTGCCTCAGCCTCCAAGTAGCTAGGACTACAGGCGCACTCCACCATGCCCAGCTAATTTTTTTGTAATTTTTAGTAGAGATGGGGTTTCACCATGTTGGCCAGCATGGTCTCGATCTCCTGACCTCGACATTAGCCCGCCTCAGCCTCCCAAAGTGCTAGGATTACAGGCTTATTCATTCTTTCTATATTTTTGTACCCATTAACCATCCCTACCTCCCCACACTCCCCCCACTACCCTTAGCAGTGTCTTGTAACCATTCCTCTGCTCTCTGCCTCCATGAGTTCAATTCTTTTGATTTTCAGGTCCCACAAATTAGTAAACACATATTAAATTTGCTAGCAAGGATGCGGAGAAAAGGGAACCCTCATACACTGTTGGTGGGAACGTAAATTAGTATATCACTACGGAGAACGCTTTGGAAGCTCCTCAAAAGACTGAAAGTAGAGCTACCATATGATCCAGCAATCCCACTGCTGGGTATATACCCTAAAGAAAGAAAAGCAGTATATGGAAGGGATAGCTGCATTCCCACATTTATTGTAGCAGTGTTTACAGTAGCCAAGATTTGGAAGCAACATAAGTGTCGGTCAACAGATGGAGAAAGCAAGTGTGGTACCTATACACAATGAAGTACGATTCAGCCATAAAAAGAATGAAATCCTGTCATTTGCAACAACATGCATGGAACTGGATATCATTATGTTAAGTGAAATAAACCAGGCACAGAAAGACAAACTTCACATGTTCTCATTCATTCATGAGAGCTAAAAATTAAAACACTTGAACTCATGGAGATAGAGTGTAGAATAAGGTTGCCAGAGGCTGAGTGTAGAATAAGGTTGCCAGAGGCTGTGAAGGGTAGTGGTTGGGGGATTGGACATGACTAATGGGTGTACAATTTAGTTAGACATATTGAATAAGATCTAATATTTGATAGCACAACACGGTGACTACAGTCAACAATAATTTATTGTGTATTTTAAAATAATTAAAAGATTATAACTTGAATGTTTGTAACACAAAGAAAGGATAAATGCTTGAGGTGATGGATACCCCATTTACCCTGATGTGATTATTACACGTTGTATGCCTGTATCAAAATATATCACTTACCCCATAAATATATACACCTACTATGTACCTACAGAAATTAAAAATTAAAAATGAATAAGTATAAATGACCAGAAATCCCTCACTTTTTTTCACACCTCATTTTTAAAGTAATTCATATGTGTCCTCTCACTTGTTCCTCTCATCATTCTTTAGAGACAAAGGCTATTTACTTGTCTGTCTTCCCTTCCCCCAGAACTATAACATCTATGTCTTTTGTATCTCTGTGTCCAGATTCTTAACACATAGAAAGTGCTCAATAAAAAATGACATAAATAATTGAAGAAGTGACATCCCTTTATTGACATACAATGAGCAGATATAACTTGCCAATCACTGGACTGAGCACTTCATACATATTATCTCATTTAGCATTCGTAACAGAAAACTATGAGGCAGACATTGTTATTATTAGTTCCACTTAAAAACTAAGGAACCTAAGGCTCCAATAGGTTAAAAAGTGTGAAGCTGGTACTGAAAACCTGTCGGTATATGTGATCACCCAAGGAGAGCACATGGATATAAATTAAAGGGACTGATGCTAGAAACTTGACCATGATCCCCAGTCTTATTCCACTAAATTTTGTGTTCACTTACTCATCACTAATTCACAAAGGAATTTCTTTAAAATAAGAGGTGATACATGTATAGTAATTATATTTTCTGGTCTAAAAATTAGGACATGTGGTATAAAAAAGTTTTTTTTAAATCTATTTATTTACATTAAAAGTTTTACACAGGCATAACATATCCAGGTAATACCATTAGCAATTTATTATATATAATATTATATAATTAACATTTATTGAAAAAATGTTACATAAAATCAGTGCTGTCCCTATAAAAACTTAAAACATATGGTCTTTATTAGGTGTAGTGCCAATGAAGAAATCTGTGAGGAACATGAGTCAGATTCTCTCAGGATTTAAATTCTCTGTAGTTGTAAAATGTGCACCTTTAGCAGATGCGTTCACTCTTTCTTGTCTACAGTACCTCAGGGTACTATTTAATGGTGTTAAATAGAACTCAAGGAAGGTGACTGCATTTTAATGCAGCTTCCAGCACGTTCACATAAATGTATACTTGTGTGTGCTTTTGTGCATGTGTGTGTGCACTCATGCCTGTGTGTGGGGGTGACTTAGATCAGAAGTAGGGAAATGTTTTACTTAGAGATTTAAAATACTTAATTTCATTACATTTCTATGCTTCTGGCAATAGAGAATTTAAACATAGTATAGGGGACTGTTAATTAACAATAATTTTAATTAATAGAGATTCTGGCTCTATTTTGCTGGCTTTTAAGGCCCAATTTTAAGATTGTATCGTGTGCCACTGTATACCCTGATCTATTGTAAGTTATGCTTTCAATGAGTTATTTTAACTCCATTTATATATACTTTCTTTTTTGAATTTTAATTTTAGGTTTAGGGGTACATGTGAAGGTTGGTTACATAGATAAATATGTGTCACGGGAGTTTGTTGTACATATTATTACATCACCCAGGTATTAAACTCAGTACCCAAGAGTTATTTTTTCTGCTCCTCTCCCTCCTTCCACCCTCCCTTCTCAAGTAGATCCCAGTGTCTTCTGCTTCCTTCTTTGTGTTCATAAATTTTTATCATTGAACTCCCACTTATAAGTGAGAACATGCGGTATTTGGTTTTCTGTTCCTGTGTTAAGTTTGCTAAGGATGATAGCCTCCAGCTCCATCCATGTTCCACAAAAGAAATGACCTCGTTCTTTTATGGCTGTATAATATTCCATGGTGTATATGTACCACATTTTCTTTATCCAGTCTGTCATTGATGGGCATTTAGGTTGATTCCATGTCTTCGCTATTGTGAACAGTGCTGCAATGAACATTTATGTACATGTGTCTTTATGGTAGAATGCTTTATATTCCTTTGGCTATACACCCAGTAATGACATTGATGGGTTGAATGGTACTTCTGCTTTTAGCTTGTTGGGGAATCGCCACTACTTTCCACAATGGTTGAACTAATTTGCACTCCCACCACAGTGTATAAGGGTTCCCTTTTCTCCACAACCTCACCAGCATGTTATTTTTTGACTTTTTAATAATAGCTATTCTGACTGGTGTGAGATGGTATCTCTTTTAATTTAAGTTCCCTATAGATGCTGGATATTAGACCTTTGTCAGATACATAGTTTGCAAATATTTTCTCCCATTCTGTAGGCTTACTCTGTTGATAGTTTATTTTGCTGTGCAGAAGCTTCAAAGTTTAATTATATCCCATTTGCCAATTTTTGCTTTTGTTGAAGTTGCTCTTGGTGTCTTTGAACGGTATTTCTGTCTTTACGTCTTTGGTAGAGTTTTGCTTGGTTATATGGCTTCCCTGTGTTTCCTCACAGTTGCAGCTCTGTTCCCTCTCAGTGCTCTGAAAGTGTGGGTTCCTCTCCCTCTTGAGTGCTGGCTATAGTTTGTGACTTGGCACTCCAATGCTAGGCACTGCAGCTCTGGGGCAATCTCAGTGTTTATGCTCCTTCCCCAGCTTAGAGGCAGCAGAGAAAGAAATCCTAGTGGGGATTGTGGCCAAGGGTCCTTCGCTTATTCCTAGAGGCTTCAATCCATAGCGATGCAGGTCAGCAATCACTTAGTGCAGTCAGCCCAAGATGGAGGGTTTGTGCTGTGGGCCCAAGCCAGGCATTCCCTTTCTGGTGATGAGCCATGGAGGGTATGCGGGGCCTAAGGGAGATGGACTGGCCTCCTCTCCTTGGGTCAACTGCAGCTTGTTGGAGGGGTGGATAGGGCACTTAAGGTCTTTGCTCGTTCATTAGTCCAAGGGTGGCAAGGGCAGTTCCACTGTAGAGGCAGTGACCAAGTGGCTGTCAGTTGCCCCTGGGGCCTCTGTCCAGAGAGTTACTGATTTGGTACTGGCTCAGTAGCTCTGGTGGGGGGTGGCTGCAGGTCCAGGCCTGCAGGACCTGCCCAGTGAGGAGATACGGGAATGGGCACCCACGTAACAGTCTGGCCACCTTTCCATAGGGCTGCTGCGGTATGCTTGGGGCCTGTTCCAGTCCCTAGTCACCTCGGATTTTCCAGAACCTGGAGGTGTGTCACCAGTGAAGCCTGCAAAATAGCAAAGATGGCAGCCCGTCCTTCCCTGTGGGAGCTTTGTCCCAGGGAGGTATGGACCTGTTGCTGGACCAAAGGCACCTTCAGGAAGCGGCTGGAGACCCCAGTTGAGAGGTCCCACCCAGTGAGGAAGAATGGGAAAGGCACCCACTTAAAAAAGCAGTCTGGCCACGTTTTGGTAGAGCAGCCATGCTGTGCTAGGGGTCCACTTCAGCCTCCTGTCACCTCACAGACTATGAAGGCCAAAGGCTGGAATGGCTAAGTCACCCAAAGAGCAAAGCACTTTGAAGGCCAAAGGCTGGAATGGCTAAGTCATCCAAACAGCAAAGATGGCATCCCACCCCTCTCTCTGGGAGTACCATCCCAGGGAGAATTCAGATCTCTGTCAGCTAGACAGCTCTAGTGGGGAAGGCTGGAGACCCCAGTTGGGAGATTCTGCCCAGCGAGGAGGATCAGGACCAGGTACCTGCTTAAAGCAGCAGTCTGGCCACATTTTGGTAGAGCAGCTGTGCTGTGCTGGAGGATCCCTTCTGCCCCGGGTCAGCTCAAACTCTCCAAAGCCTGAAGGCTGGAATGGCTAAGGTACCTGAACAGCAAAGATGGCGGCCCGCCCCTTTCCACGGGAGCTCCTTCTTAGTGAGGTGCAATGCCGCCACTGGTAGCTGGCTGGAATTCCAAGCCAGTGGGTCTTATCTTGCGTAGTGCCGTGGAAGTGAGGCTTGTGGGCTGTTGCTGCTCAACCCCAAGGATTCAGCCTTTTTCCTAGGAGTATGTACAGGAGTGTAACTTTTCACTTTGCCAAAGCTGCAGCTACTTTTGCTGGAATGCCTGAGTATCTAAGTCTTCAAAGGCCTCCATGCATGCCCGAGCAGCTGCTTTGCCAGGACTCCATGTAGCTCTGTCTGTCAGACTGAAGACTGAAGGCTCTGGTGGAGTGGGTTTGCAAGGAGATCTCCTGACTTAAGGGTTGCAAAGATCTGTGGGAGAAGTGTAGTTTCCCAGGGTCGTTCATTCACTTACTGCTTCCCTCAGTGGGGGAGGATCCCCTGGCTCCCTGTTGCTCCCAGGTGGGTTGTTGTCCTGTCTTGCTTTTCTTCATTCTCTGTGCGTCAAGTTGTTTCCTTGATTAATCCCAATGTCAGTACCTGGATGTTTCAGTTGAAGGTGTTATATTTATCACTGCTTCTGTTCCTCTCCATGATAGCCACGCACACTAGCTGCTTCTAGTCAGCCATCTTGGCCACTCCTCCCATTTATATATACTTGCTATACATTTATGGCTTTTTTTAAAAATCCTGGATGTGAAACTTTTCTTTTCATTTCACAAGCCTATCTGGCATGCATTAAAGAGCATTGAGAAAGTTAAAATTCACTTCACAGCTGATCCAGAAGAGCTCATAGGGTTCTGTGAGTCACTATGTTTTTGGATAAGGCTATTATTTGGAGCAAAGACAGGAAAAGAAACAATTCCTCTCTAATTGTTGGAGTAATCCTAGAGTAGGGGGTTGAAGACTAATTACCTCTTTGACTTTCTTTTATTTCCTTGACTCACTTATCCCCTGTGAATACGCACAGGGGTTATGTGACCACTATTCATTCGCCAGATCTTAAATACCCAATGCTTAATTATCTTTAGTTCTGATCAAGAAGTGAGACTAAAGGAAATATGTATGTATTAAATCTTCAAACAAAAAAAGTAATCCAATTTCCTTTTAGAACATTTTCTTCTACCAACCTTGGACTAAAGCTGATAATAGAAGCCAAATTGATTAGTTTGAGTAACAAATTGTGTTTCTTGTTCTTATTCTTCTTATGAGGGCACAAAGATAACAAAAGGCAGTTAGCCAGAAGGATGGAAAATTAAAGGATCCTGGATAGTGGATTGGTTCTGATTGAGAGTTCACTTTGCCTCATTTATTGCTGAGATTACTCATCATCTGTGCTTAGCATTATCTTGGATATTTCAAGAGACCATTAAAGTATAGGGTCACAGCATTGAGATTACAGACTCTATAGGAGAAGGAACCAATGTTATTCCTTTTGGTCTTTAGCATAAAAATGCACTCATCACTGTTCAGTAGATATCATTCATTGATTCATTCAACAAAATTTATTGAATGCCTACTATATGCCTAAAACCGTTCTATACATTGGTGAAAGAGTGGTATCTCATATTGAGTCTTGTCCTCATAGTATTTACATTCAAGAAGGGAGAGAAGGAAGACAATAAACAAATAAGCAAGTAAATAAAATAATTTCAGATTGTGATAAATTCTATAAATAAAATAAAACAGGATGATGTAATAGTGACTTGGGAGTGGATAACATTAATTGGAAAAGTTAGGCAAGAGTTTGAAGAGATATTTGAATTGAGAATAAAGACTGAGGAAAACCCTTCTATATAAAAAGGGAAACAACTTTCTAAATAGAGAGAAGAACTACTACAAAAATCCTTAGGAAAAAATGGGCTTGATGTTTTCAAAGAAAGAAATTCAACATGGCTGAAATGTTGATAAGGTAGATGTGTCATGCTGGGCTTTGTAGGATACAGTAAGATATTTGGTTTTGTTGTCAGTTCAGTGGAAAGTCATACAGGAGCACTGCCTCTATGGTAATAATTCTAAATGTTGTAAAGAGGATGGTTTGGAAGGGGCCATGACTATAAGCAGGAAGAAGAGTCCAGAATCTGATAGAAGTCTAAGAAAGAGATGATGCCTTGAACTACAGTGGTGACAATGGAGATAGAGAGAAGTGGGCTTCGAGGTCTGTTTTATAAATAGAACAAACAAAACTTGCTGACTGGCTGAACACGGGGCATGAAGGAAAGACAGAAATCAAGCATGACCATAAATATTTTGGTTTGAGTAACTAGATGGGTAAGGAACATGGGAGGCAGAGCAGGTTTGAGGCTGGTGGTGAGAAAGGATAAAAAATTTTGGTTTTGACATGTTTAACTGGAGATGCCTATCAGAAATCCAAGTGGAAATAGTGAATAGACAGTTGGATATGTGAATATAGATCTCAGGAGACAAGCATGGGCTGAAAAATATAAACTTGTTATCAGGATATGGGTGCTATTTAAAGTCATGTTAATGGACTTACGGCCAGAGTATAGATTCAGAGGAAAAAAGAGCTTAGTAACAAGCCCTTAGATACTTCAACACTTAGAGGTCAGGTAGTGAAAAAGTAGCTGGGTTGGTAAAAGGAATTAGGGTAAATCAGAAATAGCAATAAGAGAAAAACCCAGAGAGTGTGGTGGCATACCAGAAAAGAGAAAGAAGAAAGTATTTCAAGAAATACAGAAAGGTCTACTGTATTAAGAAGTGCTACTGAGGGATCAAATCAGAGGAGGACAGAGCAATTACTATTAGATTTGGCAACATGGAGGTGGTTGATAACCTTGACAAAAGCACTTTCAGCAAAGAGGTGGGAACAGAAGCAAGCCTGAAATAAATTGAAAACTGAAAGAGTGGTGAAGGAGTGTTGAAAATTAGGGTAGACAACTTTCTTTGAGATGTTTTATAATGATAGGCAGCAGAAAAATGAGGCAGTGGCTAAGAGAAAATGTGGAATTAATGGTTTTTATGGAATTCACATCTATATGTTAATAGAAATGATCCAATAGAAAAGAATAAAGTGTAAATGTAGGACAAAACGGAAATTATTGCATGAGTAAAGGCTCTGGGGAGGCAAGAAGAGGAGGAATCCTGAGAACATTTGGAAGGCTGTGTCTTTTATACAAGCAGAGAAAGTTTATTCACAGCAGAGTGTATTAATACAGAGGCAGATAGGTTGGTAAATTTGGTGGTGAGAAGATGAAATAGTTCTCTTCTGATTGTTTCTACTTTATTTGTGAAATAAGAAGTGAGGTTATCTGGGAATAAACAACATGCAGAAGCTGGAGGTTTTAAGGGAGAGAAGATAGTGAAATATTTGTCTCAGAGAGTAGAAAAATAATTAATTAGGGAATTGTAGGATAGGCTGAGCAGTGCTGTTGAACTTCTGGAAATTCTTTATCATAAATTTTAAAGCCTTCAATTCATCTGAGAAACCCAGATCTAGCCTTCCATTGTTCAGTGTACTCCTTGTTCTGAGCATTGCTTCCCTAGATACAGTCTTTATTCTGTAACAATTGGAAAAACTTCATTGGCATTAGGGAGGAGAATGAATAGTGCAACTCCTTTGCCTGTTACTTCAAATACACAGGGCTCCTACTCAGGCTGTTCCACATAGATTAGACGTACCTTCATATCTTCTTGTGCACAACATTTCTGATCTTTGGAATGTTATCAGTGAGTCCCACAAACTTCTCTTCATTTAGTTACTTTTCCCAGCCTGCAGATGATGTTTTGCAATTTGATCATAAATTTAAATGGGAATCTGCTCACTTTCCTACACTTATGTCCTAATGAGCCCCCTTCACATGACTTCATATTTATACTTTGAAATTTGCAAGCTGAACCATGGCTTAATGGTGCATTGGACACAACTGTCCCAGATTCTCACAGCATCCCCCTCACTGTGGCTGTGGAAAAATGGAATCCCTGATTGTGCCTATACAATACTCAAAAGGGTGTGTCAAAGGTTTTTGAAATAAGACATGGAAGTTAAATTTCTTTTGATGAAGAAAGTGGAAGTCACATTGACTATGTTTCTGGAGAACATGGGGAGGCTCAGCTTTGGGTCCGCCAATTGTGACTTCAAAGTAGGGTGACCAGGACAGTCCCAGTATCTGTCTGTTATTATTAATTTTTTAAATTATACTTTAAGTTCTAGGGTACATGTGCACAACGTGCAGGTTTGATACATAGGTATACATGTGCCATGTTGGTTTGCAGCACGCATCAACTCATCATTTACATTAGGTGTTTCTCCTAATGCTATCCCTCCCCCAGCTTCCAACCCCCTAACAGGCCCCAGTGTGTGATGTTCCCTGCCCTGTGTCCAAGTGATCTCATTGTTCAATTCCCACCTATGAGTGGGAACATGTGGTGTTTGGTTTTCTGTCCTTGTGATAGTCTGCTCAGAATGTTGGTTTCCAGCTGCATCTATGTCCCTGCAAAGGACATGAACTCATCCTTTTTTATGGCTGCATAGTATTCCATGGTGTATATGTGCCATATTTTCTTAATTCAGTCTATCACTGATGGACATTTGGATTGGTTCCAAGTCTTTGCTATTGTGAATAGTGCCGCAATAAACATACGTGTGCATGTCTTTGTAGCAGCATGATTTATAATCCTTTGGGTATATACCCAGTAATAGGGTTGCCGGGCCAAACGGTAATTCTAGTTCTAGATCCTTGAGGGATCGCCACACTGTCTTCCACAATGGTTGAACTAATTTACACTCCCACCAACAGTGTAAAAGCATTCCTATTTCTCCGCATCCTCTCCAGCATATGTTGTTTCCTGACTTTTTAATGATTGCCATTCTAACTGGTGTGAAATGGTATCTCATTGAGGTTTTGATTTGCATTTCTCTGATGACCAGTGATGATGAGCATCTTTTCTTCTGTCTGCTGGCTGCATAGATGTCTTCTTTTGAGAAGTGTCTGTTCATATCCTTTGCCCACTTTTTGACGGGGTTGTTTTTTTCTTGTAAATTTGTTTGAGTTCTTTGTAGATTCTGGATATTAGCCCTTTGTCACATGTGTAGATTGTAAAATTTTTCTCCCATTCTGTAGGTTGCCTGTTCACTCTGATGGTAATTCCTTTTGCTGTGCAGAAGCTCTTTAGTTGAATTAGATCCCATTTGTCAATTTTGGCTTTTGTTGCCATTGCTATTGGTGTTTTAGTCATGAAGTCCTTGCCCATGCCTATGTCCTGAATGGTACTGCCTAGGTTTTCTTCTAGGGTTTTTATGGTTTTAGGTCTAACATTTAATCCATCTTGAATTAATTTTTGTATAAGGTGTAAGGAAGGGATCCAGTTTCAGCTTTCTGCATATGGCTAGCCAGTTTTCCCAGCAACATTTATTAAAAAGGGAATCCTTTCCCCATTGCTTGTTTTTGTCAGGTTTGTCAAAGATCAGATGGTTGTCGATGTGTGGTGTTATTTCTGTTCCATTGGTCTATCTCTCTGTTTTGGTACCAGTACCATGCTGTTTTGGTTACTGAAGCCTTGTAGTATAGCTTGAAGTCAGGTAGTGTGATGCCTCCAGCTTTGTTCTTTTGGCTTAGGATTGTCTTGGCAATGCAGGCTCTTTTTTGGTTCCATATGAACTTTAAAGTAGCTTTTTCCAATTCTGTGAAGAAAGTCATTGGTAGCTTGATGGGGATGGCATTGAATCTATAAATTACCTTGGGCAGTATGACCATTTTCACAATATTGATTCTTCCTATCCATGAGCATGGAATATTCTTCCATTTGTTTGCGTCCTCTTTTATTTCTTTGAGCAGTGGTTTGTAGTTCTCCTTGAAGAGGTCCTTCACATCCCTTGTAAGTTGGATTCCTAGGTATTTTATTCTCTTTGTAGCAATCGTGAATGGGAATTCACTCATGATTTGGCTCTCTGTTTGTCTGTTCTTCATCATTTTTTATTGTGTCTATTTGATTCTTCTCCCTTTTCTTCTTTACTAGTCTTGTTAGCGGTCTACCAATTTTGTTGATCTTTTCAAAAAACCAGCTCCTGGATTCACTGGTGTTTTGAAGGTTTTTTTGTGTCTCCATCTCCTTCAGTTCTGCTTGATCTTAGTTATTTCTTGCCGTGTGCTAGCTTTTGAATGTGTTTGCTCTTGCTTCTCTAGTTCTTTTAATTGTAATGTCAGGGTGTCAATTTTAGATCTTTCCTGCTTTCTCTTGTGGACATTTAGTGCTATAAATGTCCCTTTACACACTTCTGCCTGTTATTTTAATGTAAACGTTAACTGCTGCCACTGCCACTCTCATAAGTGTTCTGGTTTGGACAAGAAATTATATGGTCGCCCTACCTCCCGAGTTTGAGATGGTCACTACTTCCAGAGAAACCTGCCTTCACTAACTAGCTGCTGGTTTTTTTTTTCTGTACCCTCATGTGCACATATGAGTGGAGTGCCACACTCTTATAGCCACTACCATCGCCACTCTTTCTGAGACCGGATCTCAAAAATAATCTCACCATTGCCGTTACTCTTTGGCCCTGCCATCTACTTTATAATTTTCTACTCTTTAAGTTTTGCTTAGAACAATTTTCTATATCTACCTAGTTGGATCAAGGACTGGGTTTGGATTAATAAGTTTAAATTCGGTCCAAACTGGTAAAAAAAAAAAAAAAAAAAAAAAAAAGGAGGCACACAGCCATCCCTCTACATTTGGAGACCCTTACTGCTTCCAAAGGAATCCTCCCTAACACATCCACACTGCTGAAGCTAAAGAGTCTGTGTTTAGGTCCCCCAAATCCAAATTTTATATAGGCCTTGTTTCATCCCAACAGATATACTACTCTTTCTTGCCTGATAAGAGAAAGAAGCCTAGACCAATGAAATTAAGTCCACCATGGAAGGAAAGGTGGCCCCTTTAAGAACATGGAATGGTCTGGAACCCTTGATTCTGCCCACTATGACAACAGGAAGCAAAGGTCAGAGGGACTGGCCGTAGGCACATGTGAAGCTTTCTTGCCAATCTTCATTGAACTCACACTTCAAAAGTCATGGTTTTCTCTTTGTTTTATTGTAATTTTCTGTTTTATTATAAAGAAGATTGCAGAAAAGAGGCAGAATAGGAGAGCTGAAAGACAAAAAAAGAGTATCTAAACAACAGAGGACACATACTGGGTCTGTCTTTTTTTTCCTGTTTGTATCGGTTTGTCTTTTCATATAATACTTAACCTCTATCTTACCCTTGATATCATTACCAATCTAAGAATCTCTACCCCTCAAGGGTGGTTGTGGGCATTAGATGAAACTTAGGAGTAGTTCATGGTATATAATTTCACAAACTATTTAATCTTTTTAAATCAAAGGGCAATGAATTATTTTATAGACTGCATCAAATTTCCTCATGGAAAAATAACTGTTATCAAAGTGGCTACGTAAAAATACATTTGATTTCAAAATCAATCAATCAAAATGATCATGTCATAATATGTATATACATAGACATACATACAATACATATTGTATATGTACATACTCTTAACTGGTGTGGCTACAAGAATAGGTTCTGTGTAGATCTTGTTTGGATCCAATATTATATGCCTAATGTCTGTTTTAAATGCCAAATTCTTGCTTCAATGCCCATATTCTTGCAATTTAGTCTTTACTTATGTATTGACTCAGAGTATGGTCTTTAAGTACCAAGTCTTTATCAGTTGATTTGTATGGATTAGTTTCCCTCCAAAACCCTCTAGAATATGTTGTGGCTATTTGATGTTGCAGGTCTCTGTATTCAACCTAAGTATTTGCTGCCTGAGTTATTTTTGTCTTCTGTGTTTCCTCTAGAGATACGTGTTTTTCAAACTATGACAATGGGAAGGGGGATTTAAGTTTAACCCTTTTGGATGGAAAGGTCACTTACTGCTTAGAGTGGTGACTGAAACGTATCTTCAATTTGCACTTACTCTTCAGTGGGCCATTCGATATCCCTATATAGATAGATGATGATGGTGATGAAGACGACAGATAGATAGATAGGCAAACAATAGACAGATAGATAGAAATAGAAAGAGACTTGCTATGTGGTCAATATAATATATAAACATTTTCCCTTTAGCAATTACCTTTATTTGTCATTTCCAAAGATTAGTCCTGGAGCTATCTTGATATTTAAAGATTAGAATGTAGAATTAATGTGAGCTATTATATATTATATTTCAAACTTCCCTAAAATCATGGCTAACCATTTCTTCTCTTCCCTCAAAAAATCAATGTGCAGAATCTCTGGAGCTCATCCCTTCAGAGGGCCCTTCCCAGAAGAACTGTATCTCCACTTCCTCGGTTCTCTGGAATAAATTACAAGTAAGTTACCTTAAAAGAGATGTTAAAGCATGTAAATACTAAAAAGAGAGAAAGCAGAATGTTATTTGGGAATAATTTTAGTAGATAGTTTTATGTACTTATCTTTTGGTAGAAGGTAGGGTTTCAGGGAACAGAACATAGAGATAACAATGTTTCTTACTGTGAATATCTACATAATTGTGATTATATTAGAGCAGAAGATAGCTCTTTTACACATTTCCTGAGAAAAAAGTCAGTACTGACTAAAATTAATCTGTAAGATTTTAAAAATTGTACTTCATTTATTTAAGTATCATAGTAATTTATCAGACATCCTGAGAAAGAACACAGAAAATATTCCTTAACAAGAACCCTAGTTTGAGTGAGAAATAGAATAAAAAGAGAACTGTTTCATTATTTCAGTTTTATGAGAATGCCATTATTTTGTTATGTCTGCTATGTCAATCTAATGTAACTTCTGAATGACTTCATTTATTCGTTTCCCACAGAATATAGTCATAACATTCGATTTCATAACACGTAACACTTTATGATTGAGTTTTTAAAGTATCCTATAATATTTATTTTATTTTTTTTCATTTAAAATAGCCTTATGACTCATGAGTCCAAACAGGACAGTCTTTACGTCTACCCATCTTATGACTGATGTGGCTCTCAAGGAACAATAAAACCTAAGCAAATTATGGGAACAAGCATTTATCAACCACGCAAATGAAGCCATTCTTTGTATGTATTATGCATCTCAATCTCCATATATGGTTATCAACGTAATAATTCAAGTAAAGGTAATATAATAAATACTAAGACCTCACTATAGCAAAATGATATGATAGAATTAGACAAATTATGTCAGGCAGAATTAGACAAACTTCAAGACAAATGTTCAGGAAGTTTAGTTTATATGACTCACTGTCATTACTATTTTATTTTGTAAAATGGGATTAGGAAATATGAACCAAATGTATAGTATATATAATACTTAATACGTATTAACATACCTATATATAAGTATTCATAATGTATATTTAAATTTGAATCTTTAGAAGGAGATTTCAGATCAAATGAAAACTGATTAAATGCCATTAGACTGGTTAACCCAGAGATGAGAAAGGTCTTATGTTTTTGAAGTCATTAAATTACCATAATTTAGCAAGGCAACTGCCATTTTGTGTTTCAGTCCACTTAAATAATACATTAAATAGTACATTGCTCAAGGTAATGTTGAACACTAGCTAATTACTGATCACTAGCTATAAGACATGTTAACAAATAACATAGAATGCAAAGTATTTCCTTGTAGAAGTGTTTAAAAATATCAATCAGAGAAAACAGCAAAACAGATTATCAGCAGAAAGTTATCTTTATGAATTTTCTTGATAAGTGCAATGAATTATAGAAAAATGGAGCTAGTTCACCAAAAATGGATAACTGGTATTTGTTAACATAATAAGTTGTGGTTCTTTTGAGAGGGGGACATTTTTGGTTGACCGCATAGCAAAATAACATTCCTCCAAAAAACCGCACTGTGAATTAATGAGTGACCTCACAGTGATAAATTAAGGAAACACAGATTTGTAGTTTTAAGGATTTTGATTATGCAGTAAGACAAAATGCCAGCTGTGTGATTGAATAAAAACAGGTTTTTCTAATGTACTTAGCATATATTAGGAAAGATATATCATCTATGAGGACAAGTGATGAAAGATAGAACTGAAAAAAAAGAACTTTCATGAGACATGTAAAATCATTAAGAGAATTAAATAAGAGAGAATGGCACTGAACTCATTTTGGGTCAATACATGTGGAAACTCAAAAAGAGAAAACCTCAGTAAGAAAAGAGGAAAGGGTAATATTGAGAATATAGAGGGGAAGCTGGCCGGTCTTAAATGTAGGTGGCTTCAGAATCAGTTTTGATCTGTGTATTAGTTCCCTATTGCTGCATAACAAATTATCAGACTTGTCAACTTATAAAAACACATACTTATTATCTCACAGTTTCTGTGTGTCTTAGTCCATTTTGTGTTACTATAAAAAACCCTGGGGCTGAGTAATTTATAAAAATGAAAAGTTTATTTGTCTCATGGTTCTGCAGGCTGTACAAGAAACATGGCACCAACATCTATTTCTGGTGAGGGCTTTAGGCTGCTTCCACTCATGGTAGAAGGCAAAAAGGAGCTGGCATGTGCAGAGATCACGTAGCAAGAGAGGATACAAGGAGATTTCCAGGCTCTTTTTAACAGTCAGCTCTCATGAGAAGTAATAGAGGAAGAAGTCACTTACTACTGAGAGAGTGGCTCCAAGCCATTCATAAGGAATCAACCACCATGACACACTAGGCCTCACCTCCAAAACTGGGAATCACATTTCAACATGAGATTTGGAAGGGTCAAATATCCAAACTATAGCATTCTACCCCTGAACGCCTAAGTATCATGTCCTTCTCACAAGCAAAATACAATAATTTTATCCCAATAGTTCCCGAAAACTTTAACTTGTTCCAGCATCGACTCAGAAATCTAAAGTTCAAAGTCCTATCTGAGACTCAAGGCAATTTACTTACAACTGTGAGCCTGTATAATTAAAAAACAAGTTATTTAACTCCAAGGCACAATGGTGGTACAGGCATTCAGTAAATATTCCCATTCCAAAAGGGAGAAATTAGCCAAAAGAAAGGGGGAATAAGCCCTACACAATTCCAAAACCCAGCAGAGCAGACATCAAATCTTAAAGCTCCAAGATAATCTACTTTGACTCCATGTCTTGCATCCTGGGCACACTGGTAGGCAGGGTGGGCTGTGAAGACCTCAAGAAGCTCCACTCCCATGGTTCTGCTAGGTGCACCCACGTGGCTGCTCTCATGGGTTGCAGTCCAATGCTTACAGTTTTACGAGGCTGCAGTCGCACACTTCCAGGGGCTCTATAATTCTGGAGTCTGGAGGGTGGTAGCACTGCCCTAGTAGGCACCAGTTGTGGGGACTCCAACCCCTATTGCATTCTGAGCACCTGTGGATATAACACCATATGCATGCCACCAAGGCTTACAGCTTGCGTCCTCTGGAGCAGTAGCTTGAGCAGTACCTGGGGCCCTTTGAGCCACAGCTGGAGCCGAAGTGGTGGGGATGTAGGAAGGAACATCCTGAGACAGCACAGGACAGCAGAACCTGGGCCTGGCTCCCAAAACCATTCTGTCTTCTTAGGTCTCTGGGCCTGTGATTGGGCCTTTTACCCATAGTCTTGACTATTAGCGCCTGGCTTCCATTTAGTCATGGTAATCTCTTTAGCAAGTGGTAGTTCCACAACATCCTTGGATTCCTCTCCTGAAAACACTCTTTTCTTCTCTATCACATGGCCAGGCTGCAAATTTTCCAGACTTTTACACTCTGCTTCCTTTCTAATCATAAATTTCAACTTTAGGTCATCCCTTTACTCCCAGATAATATTGTAAGTTGTTAAAAGTAGTCATGCCACTCTTGAATGCCTTGCTACTTAGAAATTTCTTTCACCAGATACCCTAGGTCATCACTCTTAAGTTCAGCCTTCCACAAAGCCCTAGGGCATGGACACAATGCAGCCAAGTTCTTTGCTACAGTGTCACAATGACCTTTCTCCAGTTACCATTAAGTTGCTCATTTCCATTTGAGACCTCATCAGCATGGCCTTTACTGTCTATATTTCTATGAGCATTTTGCTCACAACCACAACGAATCTCTAAGAAGTTCCAAACTTTCACCTGTCTCCCAGTCTTCTTCTGAGTGCTCCAAACTTTTCTAACTTCTGCCCATTAGCCAGTTCCCAAGCTGCTTTCACATTTTCAGGTATCTTTATAGCAATGCCCCACCCTTGGTACCAACTTTCTGTCTTGGTCTGTTTTTGTTTTGCTATAAAGGAATACCTAATGCTAGGTAATATTAAGAAAAGAGGTTTACTTGGCTCATGATTCTGCAGGCTAGATGACCGGGAGTCTGGTGAAAGCCTCAATCTGTTTCCACTAATGGCAGAAAATGAAGGAAAGCTGGCATGTACATAAATCACATGGTGAGAAAGGAAGCAAGAGCAGGGAGGTGACAGGCTCTTTTTAACAGCCAGCCCTCATGGGAATTAATGGACTGAGAACTCACTACTGAGAGAATGGCACCAAATCATTCATGAGGAATCTGCCCCCATGACCCAAACACTTCCCACTAGGCCCCACCTCCAACACTGGAGATCAAATTTCAACATGAGATTTGGAGGGGTCAGTTATCCAAACTATAGCACCATGAATCAGGAGTCTGAATATGGCTTATCTGGGTCCTCCACTCAGGGTCTTTCAATGCTGTGATCAAGGTGTCAAGCAGACTGCATTCTCATCTGGAGTTTGGGTCCTCTCCCAAGCTCATGCATTTGTTGGGAGAATCCACTTCCTTGCAACTATAGAACTTCATTCTCTTTCCTACCCTTTTCCTTGCTAGCTGTCATCTAAAGGCCACTGTCAGCTCCTAGAAGCCACTTGCAGTTGCTACAGGGCCCTCTGATAGACCCTCTCACAATATTGCAGTTTATCTCTTCAAGGCCAGCAGAAGAATGGCTAGCTCCATTCTGCTAGGATGGAGTCCTAAATAACAATGTATTCAAGAGAGTAACTATTGTATTGATATTCCCTATCATTTTCTCCATATTGGCCAGATGCAAGTCACAGGTTCTTCCTATGCTCCAGAGAAGGGGTTTATGCAATCGATGTAGCTCATTGAGGGCGTCATTCAATGTGTGTGTCCACATAATCAACAATTTACCCTTTAAAGAGGACTAAAATTGAATAGCTCAGCTTTTTCCTAGAAGACTAGGTGAACAGGGGAAAAATGGTGACCCTTAAAGGTTATAGAAAGCCTGGGTCAGATAATCTTTTAAAACTGAATGAAACTAATTGAGGAATGTAACTTTTTCATTCATTCAACCAATTCGTTAAACCTACTGGTGCCTAGTATGTGCCAAGACCTGTGGTATTTAAACAATGATGAAAAACGTTATTGTCTTGACCTATGGAACTATACTATAGTGTAGGGAAACATACATTAAACAGGTGAATATGTATATAATTAAAAATTGTGATAAGTACTACAAAATAAAAGCTCAGAGGGTAGTGAGAGAGAATGACAAGGGTGATGCAATCACCTGTGGTGCAGTGTGTGTATCAGTATTACCCTTAATTATAGCCACCAAAAGCAAAGCAATATTGGTACAAGAGGTGGATAAGAGACTCAAAAAAGAAGTGAGTCAGAG
Source organism: Homo sapiens (assembly GCF_000001405.40). NCBI lineage: Eukaryota > Metazoa > Chordata > Mammalia > Primates > Hominidae > Homo > Homo sapiens. Next base: position 85,217,353 of record NC_000023.11, read on the forward strand.
CTGTTTTTTGTAGCTACCTCAGTCAAAAAGTAGTGGTAGTAATTTCCAAGAAGTAGGGGCAGGATTGGAGGTGGAAGAGGCAAAATAAGACAAAAAGTTGAAGTGACATGGATATTGATAAGGGAAAGATAGTGCCCAAGACAAGAAAGAATGTGCCTAAAGTTCCTTAGGAAAAGCCGTGGAAAAGGTTCATCTCAGTCTCTGCTAACAAATTAAACTTTTCCCCAACAAAGCTCTCACTGTACTTTTATTTCAAGGATACATGGTAACCAAGCTCAGCATTCTGTTAAAGCACATTGTTAAAGTTGCTCTCACTGAGTGTCCCAGTAATATGTTAGATATCAAATCCAAAAGCCTATTTTAAGACTTCACCTTATCTGATCTCTCTATAGATATTTGATACTTAATGTTTCCTGAACACTTTCAGGCTAATACTCTCCTAGTGGTCTGCCTATCTCTCTGACTATAATTCCCCAAACTCCTTCTGAAACACCTTCTAATCTCTAATCAGAGGCAGTGCCTGCCACAAAATGGTGGGCAACAAATATATATATTTTAAAGTTTTGAACCATTCTTGTATGAATGGAGAAGATAGCCAGTATAATGTTTTTCAGTAAATATAAAAAATTCTCACCATTATCCTAAGCAAACTAATGCAGGAATATAAAAACAAATACTGCATGTTCTCACTTATAAGTGGGAAGTAAACAATGAGACCTCATGGACACAAGGAGGGGAACAACAGACACTGGGGATCACTTTAGAGTGGAGAGTAGAAGGGAGAAGATAAAAAAAAAACCCCACCAATTGGGTACTATGCTTATTACCTGGGTGACAAAATAATCTGTACACCAAATCGCTGTAACACACAGTTTACCTATATAACAAACCTTCACATATAACCCTGAACTTAAAATAAAACTTAAAAAAATAAAATATTCCATTCAGTTAAAAAAAAATCTTAAAATAAAGGCCTACAGATTCATACTTTCTCAGATCTGTTTTAAAATGACATTTTTAAATGTTCAGGGACATGTTTCCTTATGGTCCCTGGAATAGAAAAGTAAATTTATGAATGGAGATTTTTAATTGCCAAAAAGTAACATGTTATGCTGGGGAAATTAAGTTTTAGCATGAACCTCTATCATAAAACAATTCTATGCCGAGACGAAACTCTGCTTATGTGACATAAATAATGTTATGATAACATATGCTGTGAAAACAATTAGTCATGTATTTTAAAATGTGTGCATATGATCATACAAAAAAGACAAATGGAATATTTCATAAAAGCAACAAATTTAATTTTGTGTTAGTACAGTACTAACATTCACAATTGTGCAATACTAGAGTATGGACCTTGGTACTATAGTATGATAAAAAAAAGAAATACTTGCTTTTCTTATGTAAATTTTCTCCTGTAATGTTTGCTTTTTACTTTAGTATGGAAACTGGATTGCCCAATATCTAAACCAGTATGAAGGAACTATTTTACAAGTATTTAATGGTTATTTGAAAGCAGCCAGGAATTATTTTACTAAAATAAGATATTTTCATGTGTTGTTTTAAATCACTACAGATTTCTGAGAGTGATTAAATAGATTTCTAAAATAACTAAACATAAGCATATCTGAATGAGAATAAAAATTGTATTAAATGCCATTTAATTACATTCGATATTTTTCACTTATTTGCAGAGTTTTTCTACACCAGGAGTTCCAAAATCAAGCTACATTCAAAGAGAGAAACAACACATTGGATACTCAAGTTATGAACCGTGAGAAGAGTCAGAAATTCCTTATAGGATAGAACATGTGCAATTGAAATCTAATATTAAGTTTTCTGTGGAAAAACACATATATGTGTACTATATGGCTATCTGATCATTTTAAAAACATACTCAGAATACTTTAATAAAACACTGTGAGTATGAATTATCTATGCTTTAAACACTTTACTTCTCTTTCTGCATTTATGCCATCACTTCTTATCTCTTCATACCTTGAACTTTTTCTTTTCCCCCTCTCTCACTCTATGACTCCTGAACAAAACTGTCATTTCCAATATCTAACTTCATTAACTAAGTAGGGATGGCAGATGTTTATTATCACCAAAATGCAGCATAACATTTGCAAACTGGTTTATGACATGCATCTTTATAAAGTGCTCAGTGAAATGCATAAACGATTGATTGAAAATTGGTCAAAGAGAATATTGAGTACTTTATTAGTTACTGGCTAAAGCTAAGGAGTTACAGAAAAGCATCATATCTAAATAAGGAGTTTTATTTGAAATATGTAATTTCATTATGAATAAATTCCATAAAATAAACTAAGAATTGCTAAATGATTTCTGTAAACTGATTGGTGCTGTAGAATGATCCCATAACCTGGGCCCCTGACTCCTTCTTTCCTTTCTTCCTTCATTCCTTCTTCTCTTCCTTTATCCCTCCTTTATTTAAAGGGTACTCAGAGTGGAGCAAGATGGTGGAATAGAAGGCTCCACCAATCGCTGCACATTACCCCCAGCAAGGACACCAATTTAACAACTATCTACACAGAAAAAAACACCCATATAAGAACCGAAATTCAGGTGAGCCCTCATAGTACCTGGTTTTTAACTCCATGTTACTGAAAGAAATACTGAAGAGATAGAAAAAAAAAAAAAAACACCTTGAATCACTGACACTACCTCTCCCCAACTCCCCAGCAGCAGTGTGGAGTGGAGCATCTCTGGGCATTGGGGAAGGGACAGCACAACAATTGTGAGGCATCAAACTCAGTGCTGTCCTGTTAAAGCAGAAAGGAAAACAGAATAAAACTCAGCTGACACCCACCCACAGAGGGAGCATTTAAACCAGTCCTAGCCAGAGGGGAATCTTGTATCCCAATGGGTGGAACTTGAGTTCGTGCAGACCTTGCCACCCAGGGCCAAAGTGCTCTGGATTTCAAAGCAAACTTGATAGGCAGTCTAGGCCACAGGGACTACAACTCTTAAGTCCTAGTGCTGAACTGGGCCCAGAAACAGTGGTCTGAGGGCGCATATGACCTGCTGAGACATCAGTGGGAGCAGCTAAGGGAGTGCTGGCATCATCCCTCCCCTAAACTCTCCGCTGTACAGCTTGTGGCTCCAAAAGAGACCCCTTTCTTCCTCTTGAGGTGAAGAGAGGGAAGAATGTAGAGGACTTTGTCTTGCATTTTGGATACCAGCTCAGCCACAGCAGCATAGGGCACCGATCAGAGTCATAAGGACCCTGTTCCAGGCCCTAGCTCCCAGGCAGCACTTCTGTGTTAAAAAAAAAAAAAAAAAAAAAAAAAAAAAAAAAAAAAAAAAAACTCTCCTGGATCTAAGATGCATCACACAGTGTCCTACATGATCTGTCAACTATTGGTCCTGTTCTTCAGTCATCTCTCCTTAATTCCCTGGGGTGGAGAAGGGGAAATTAGGAAAAGAAAAAAGAGAAAAAGAAATTAAGTGAGAGAAAAAGAAATTAAGTGCTCACCAGTCACTGTCCCTTCTACTTCCTAAATAGATCTCAAATATGTCCCCTCTCCTACCATTATCTCTATTCATTCTGACACTATCATCGTCTGAAATACCACCACCTTTTCCCTGGACAATTGTAACTGACACCCAGTTGGTCCCCCCATATCTTACACTTGCCTCAGTCCAATCCTATTGCCACAGTACAGCTACGGTAATATTTTAATATACATGCCTAGTCTTGTTATATTTCTCCTTAAACCTCTTCAATAGCTTCCAATTACCTTAGAATAAAATTGCAAGTTCTCACCATGGATCACAAGGCACTCTAAGACCCCAAGATATCGGGTCTCTGTCACTCTGTCTTTCTGTCTCTATCTATATTTACATCCATATCTACATCTATATCATGTATGTGTTTGTGTGTTACTGTGTGATATTCATAAGAATACTTACTATGATGTAAGCACACAATACTTTACATGCAATCTTATGCCATCCTCCCATCACTATGAGGTAGGTACTGTTATTTTTCCCATGTACAAATGAGGAAATCGAGGCTTTAGGTAGTTTAGTAACTTGTGCAAAGCCCCATAATTAGTGTCAGAGCCCAGGATTCAAACACAATCAGCCTGATTCAAAACTCTGTAACTAGGAACAGTATATTTTTTTCCAATTTCTTCACTTACTTCACTTACCACTCTCCATCTTGCTATGTGCTCTAGTCATACTTGACTTTTGGTTTCTCTTTTAGAGCCTTCCTGCATGTCATTTCTCTCTGCCTGGATAACCTGATTATAAATAAGTCTTTGGAATTCAGACACTTCTATGGAAGATGTGGCTATCCCAGAAAAAAACCTCTAAGTTAGGCTGCCCATGAAAGAGTTCCTGGTTGGTTGAAAGTTTTCTGTGAATGTCACATAGTCCAGAATAGAAACAAGCTTCCAGTTGTTGAAAGACTCCTTTATTTATACTGAGAATCATGTAGGGCCAGACCCTGGGTGGTAGGACTTCTGTAGGTGTTTAATACAACACAAGACCAAGCTCTAACTGGCTCCTATCAGTCTAAGCAGGAATAGACATTGAGTGTTCAGAGTTTTAGCCTCTTGATGCTGAGGCTGGCCTAAGAACAGGGTCTGGGTGGTTAGAGATTTTGTCTGTATGCACTGAAAACTTCATAAATTGTCAGAGGCTGCTATTGTAAGTTCTAGAGTCAGAGTAGGAGAAGACCAAGGATGGTCAAAGGCATAGTTATATATAGGAGATAATCTAGCACAGTGGTTAACAGCTTAAACAACTCTGTAGTGAGCCTGCTGCATTGAAATTCCAGATTCCACACTTCCTAGCTGTGGGACATTGGGCAAATGACTTATCCTTTATCTCTGTTTCATCTTCTCTAAAGTGAGAATAACAGTCTGTACTCCATAGGGCTGTTATGAGGATTAAATAAGACATGTAAAACACTTGAGACAGTGCCCAGCAAATAGTGATTAGTCAAGAAATCATAACTATTATCTGCTATAGCCTAGTACAGGAATAAGGCTAAAGTGGACAAAGGTTTCTTCCGTAGGTGCTCTCTGCACTCCAGGGAACAAATCTTATGTTTGAACTTATAGTCTATGTTTGAATATACCTGTCTTACCTGACTTTTCCAAACTTTGCCCAATATACATATATATTTGAAATATATATATTTTGAGAAAGAGAGAGAAAGAATTTATTCTTTCCAATCCTGTCTACTCTGATGTATGCCACCTGGACTGCCTGATCTAACCACCTAATTACAATCAGGTCTGTTTGTTGATTCCTACATCTATCTCATAGTGACAAAGGTAATTTTGATTTTAATTGCTTCCTGCTAAGCTCAAAGATGTGTTTGGTTTGCCTTTCTGACACTGCCAAGCAACAATCATAAGTCCTTACATCCTTTGCTTCTTACAAGTAGAGGAGAGTGACAAAAGGTAGTAGCAAAGATAACAATATGCTAAGATGGTAGGTACTCCCATAAATAGGTTCTTCTCCACTAGGAGAGAATCTTTTTACTGAATTCTTAAAAAATGAAATATTCCACTTGGTATTACTCTTCTAACTAGAAGTCTCTAGTAGCTAAGATTATACGTTTATACACAGTAACTTTTCTTTTAGAATGGCCTTGATATAACTACAATGTTATAGTCTTATACACAAAGTTGTTCGAGCTGTTTTCTGAAGGAATATTCATCCCTTCTGAGATTTTTAACAGTTTCAGAGGAATTTTCCCTCTTTCTTCTATGGCTAAGCTTTTATTTTAATAGATGTTTTCAGCATATTGTATATTTAGTTATGACTGGCCTAGTAGTATGTGTCCAAAGTTTGTGCTTTTATATCATCTGGTTGAGATACTGTCACAGTAAGAATGTTTTGTTAGGAATTATCCCATTTCCTTTATCACAAAGTTTTTGCTACTGACACTTGTAATTTAGAGACTTGGTAGTGTTGGGTAAGTGCCTGGCTGCGAATTTCATTAGACTGGAAAAAGGATATGAGTATGGCAGAATTTTTTTTCTCATATGACCTCAAAAAAGATATTAGTTAAGGCCAAGAGAAGACAGAAGATATGATAGAGCCAAGAAGAAAGATGAAGTCAAGTTTTCAGTTTCTGTCTCTAAAGTGAAGGGGTTAGATTAGATGACCTCTTGGTTCCCTTCCAGAAATGATATTGCATCATCCGAATCCTGGATGATGAGCCAAGATAAGAAGCCTAGGTCCAGAAAGTGGGTCAGATCTAGGAGGACAATTAGCAGAGACCAGAAACCCAGGCTTGCTGACTGGGAACAAAAATCCTAGACCAAAGTCAAGGCCACAAAAGGTTGCTATGTAATTATGGGATCCGTGTGATAGGCATAGGGATCAGCAGCAAGAGAGAAGCCTGGTACTGTGCCAAACTCCTTTACAGGCAGGAGCTTTCCACAGGTTTCCTGCCCAGAGTAACTCAGAATAGTTTTCAACATGTGTGCAAGGCTTGAACCTATAGAGACAAAAATAGGAGTGACTGAAGTAATGGACTAGGGGAGCAGGGAAAAAAATACTTCTAGATAATGACCATCAGAGCAATTATTTTTGTCAGGAGTTGAGGAGGAGATCAAAAGGAACACTCCTAGTTCCGATAAGTGGCAAAGGAAGACCTTGAATTCAGATCTGACTCTAATGTCAGTGCTCTTAACTATTGTATTAGTTTCCTGTGGCTGCCATAACAAATTACCACAAATTGGGTTACATAAAACAGCAGCTATTTATTCTCTCACGGTTCTGGAGGCCAGAAGTTTTAAATCAAGGTGTCAGCAGGGTCACGCTCCCTCCAGAGGCTCTAGGGGAAAATCCATTCCTTACCTCTTCCAACTTCTGATGGCTTCGGTATTTCTTGGCTTGTAGCCACACCACTGTGATCTCTGCCTCCCTTTTCACATCATCTTCTCCTCTGTGTGTGTCTATGTCTCCTCTTCTGCCTGTATCTTAACAGATAAGCAAGATCTTTATTTAACTTAATCACATATTTTGTCACATAAGTAATGTTTACAGATCCCAGGAATTAGAGCATGGACATATCTTTTTGAGGACCACCATTCAGCCTACTATTATTCCTATGATAAAATTTTTTTCTATTCAGCTTCTTTCATTCTGAGACATTGACATTTTAGCAGGCACTATTAATTTCATCACAAATATCCCTTTAATCTTTACTAACAGAATTCAAATTTTGTTTGAAATATCTAAGCTTGTTCCTTTTTTACAGACTCCATTGCCACTAGTTCTGGTCAATGAGATTGAAGGGGAAGTGTGATAGTGAGAGGATTTCAGGAAAGTTTTTGCCTTTCTGATAAGAGGAGATGGACTTACCCTTTAAGTCCCTGGTCCTTCCACTATATTCAGCAATTCCACTCATGAGTATATATCAAAAAAAAAAAAAAAAAAGAGGAAAACTTACATTCCCACAAAAACCTGCACTGTATACAAATAGAAGATTTCTTTGTAACAGCCAAAAACTGGAAAGGAGACACTTTTCCTTCAACTAGTGAATGAATAAACAAACCATGAAACATCCATACAATGTAACACTGCTCAACAATAAAAAGAATGAGCTATACATACATACAACAACCTGAATGGATCCCCAAAGATTATGCTAAGTGAAAAAAAGACAATCCCCAAAGGTTCCATACTGTAACTCCATTTTTATAATACTTTGAAATGACTAAATTTTAGACAAAGAGGACAGATTAGTGGTTGTCAGAGATTGAGTTAGGGGGGTGGGAGAAAAGTAGGTGTGGTTACAAAAGGACAACAAAACGGATCCTTGCAGTGATGAAATTGTTCTGTATCTTGACTGTGGTAGTGGATACATGAACTTACACATATAACATTTTATAGAACAAATACACACACACAACTACAGATAAAACTAGGGAAATTGGAATAACATGGGTGAATTGTGTCAATGTCAATCTTACTGTAATACTGAATTAAAGTTCTACAAGATGTTCCATTGGGGGAAACCGGGTAAATGGTACATGGAATATTTCTGTATCATGTCTTACAACTGCATGTGAATCCACACTATCCCAGTAAAAATTCAACAAAAATTAAATGTCAAGATGATGATATATTTATGGAGTACTAAGGAATACAACAGGAGGAAGTCCCTAAATTTTCCTTAAATATGCAAAGGCAGAAAGACTGCATGGAAGAGATACTTAAGCTAAGTCGTGAAGAATGAGTAGAAGCATTCTGGATAGATGGGGGATGGATGGGAGATAAACCAGGAAGAGGGATCAGCAGGCAAAGAGATATAAGAGAACATGGTGTACTGAGGGAACTTCAAGTAATTCAAGTATGGCTGAAGCACAAAGTTCATATGCAAGAAATATCTCTTTTTCTCTGACGTTCTCCTTTAGTGGTAGTCAAAAGAGATTTCTGGCATTCAACCCTATGATACACAGGAATCAAAAAGGAATCCAGAGCCCCTTGTGCTCCAGGAATTAGGAGGGAGCTATCCCCTGTTCCCTGGTCTTGATCTTTTTATTACATGAATGAAGAACTGGCCTCATAGCTTTCTGCATTCCTTGCAGGACCCTCATCTCTCTCTCCCCCAACCCCCACACTCATAGTCTCACAACCATTACCTGCTTTGATATTACTAGAATTATATAATTATGTCCTTTATCTCTGTTTACTTCAGTCAACTAAAGAAGTCCAGAAATCCCAAATCCCTACACTTTATTCCCCATGCAACTCTGCACATTATTTTTTGACCCTATTTCCCACCCTTCCCCATTTCCTGAAACTCTCCTGCAGTGTCTACTAGAACTTACAGTCCATCACCAGAAAAAATATTTATATCCTTAACCTCTTTTCCAAATATTCCTTTCACCTACTTGCTCTAAGAACTCTAGCTTTCCAATGAAGACACTGCTTCCCCTAAAGCCCAAATGGCAACTGCTTTCTTTCCCGTATTCCTCAAATCAATGGTCCTAAAGTTGGGTTAGATGTCCTATTTGCACCTCATTACCACTTCCAGGCCATTATCCTTCTGTCTTCCTTAAACGCCCCCTAGCTTTGAATTTCAAGTCATTCAGTCATTTAGTTGTTCATTCATAAAGCAATCATGTACTGAACACTCTACTATATGCCAGTTATTATTCTAAGGGTTAGGGATACAATGATAAAACTGGACAAAATTCCCTGTCCACATGGAGCTTATATTTTACTGTTCCTTCTTATTGAGTTATACTACTCATTACTTGAGGAGTTTAGGTTCTGGCCTAGTGACTGTCATAATACTTGGTGATCAATATATATTAATAAATGTTCAGATTTATTGGGTTCTCATTTCCTTGATCTCCTCTCTTCCAGAGAGCTATCCACCACTTTTCCTCAGCCACTCTTATATTCATTCCCTGTCTATAATCTCAATTTTAAACATTCCACTATCTAATCAGCACCTTTCATCTCTCCAGCACACTCCTTTTAGCACCCTGGCTTTTATAATTCTTCAACCTTTATAAGATATGCATTCTTTGGACCCTATCAGCTTTTTACAGTAACTTATCATTCTCATGTCCACTTTCCCCTCTACCTACTGCAGATTCCATAATCACTCCCTTGTATATGTCCTGAATATTCTTGCCTTTTTCTTGCTTGAGTTCAGCTGCCAAAACCAAAGCCTGCTTAAAGCCAGTCCTTTCCCTACTTTAACCTACCTCCATACAGGTGAAGGTGATTTTTAAAAAGCATACAACCACACTTATTGGTCTTAGTTAAATTCTTGACCACGAACCTCATCTGTGCTCTTATTGCTACCTAGCAATCATACTGAATCTCTCTAGTCCAATCATGTTGCCTCTCATTTAGATGTCTATTTCACACCTTCTCTTCCTAAAATCTCTAATATTTCCTATCTCTCTTCATTCTACCTGATACCCTTACTTACTACTTCACTGAGAAAATTAAAGCAATCCAAACAAAACTTTGAACTGCACAAAAGTATAACTTAAAAGAAGAGAGGAAATGCTTCTCTTTTTACAAATATTCCTGCTAATTCCAGAAACACCCAATCAATTAATAGATCTAAACAAAAATTATCAATGGCTGCTAACATCCCAACAAGGGAAACAACTGGACATTATGTGCCTCTTGATAGAAGTATACACCACCATTTATAAAGTATTCTTGCAAACGTTATATCCAGATCTCATCAAACCTCTGAATGAGGAATTACAGAGAACAGAAGAACATGTTGAAAGTCACCAAGGGGATGCAATCGCAAAATACAGACTGTGGGGGACTCTACAGGACAAATGGTTCGGTTTTATCAAGAAATAAACTGGGTAATGTAGATGAAAAGAGCATCTATAGATTAAAAGTGACATAAGAGACACATCAATCAATCACAATACATGGTCTTTATGTGGGCTACAATTCAAACAAACATAAAAAGACAACTGGGGAATTTGGAACATGGTCTGGACATATAATAATATTAAGGAATTATTGTTAATATTTTAGGTATGGTGATGTGGTTATATTTTTTAAAGCACCATCTTTTAGAGGCATATAATAAAATACTTAGAGTTGTAATAATATGATACATGGGATTTACTTCAAAATAATCTGGGGAGGGGAAAGAGTGTAGAGGGGGCTATAGAACAAAATATAGGTCATGAACAGATAATTGTTAAAGTTGGGTGATGAGAGCATGGACGTTCATTAATCTATTAGGTTCATTAATCTATTCTCTACTTTCATAAATTTTTGGAACTTCCATAATGATGAATTTCTTAAAGGAGAGATTTTCTACAAGCATCAGAAGATAACTTCCAACTGACCTAACTGCAAGAATGCACGCATATCCTGCCTCTGCTCTTGTCATTATCCATACTCCTAAGTAAGGCAGACTCCTTCATTTGTGTACTAGAACACATACCTTCTCCCTATTCAAAGATGTCATTCCAGTAATTTTTTTCTTATCTGCCCTATTAATTTCCCCTTCTCTACTGGATCAGTTCCAATCAGCATAGAAATGTGCTATAATTTCTCACATTTAAAAAAAATGTCTATTGATGTCCCTGTAGCCCCCTCTAGCTATTGCCCAATTTCTCTGCCTCCTTTAGAAGAAAATCCCTCAAAGGAGTTTTCTTGATTTCTAGTTTCCAATTCCATTCATCCCATTCTTTATAGAACTCATTACAACTAGGCTTTCACACCTACCACTCCACTGAAATTGCTCTTGTCAAGGTCACCAATGACCTCAATGTTGCAAAATCCAATGGTCAATTCTCAGTCCCCATCTTCTTTGAACTATCAGTACATTCCATGCAACTGGTCACTTCTTTAGGCTTCCAAAACATCATACTCTCCTAGTTTTCCTCCTGCCTTGTTGTTCTCTTCTTCTCAGTGTTATTTGCTGGTTTATTCTCATTTTTATGATTTCTAACAATTCTCCAGAGTTCAGTCCTTCTCTTCTAAATATACACTCTTTCTTGATGATCTCCAAATTTTGTATTTCAATCCTGGACTTCTCCCCTGAAATCCAACTCAACTTGAATATTTAACAAACATCGTGAACTTAGATCCACAGCTGAACTCACTAAAAATTTGCTCCACTTTTATAGACTTCCCCATTTCAGATGGCAGCAACTCCATCCTTCCTCTTGCTCAGGCTGAAAACTTTGGAGTCATCTTTGACTTTTCTCTTTATCTCTACTCCACATCCAATCTACCAGTGAAATGCTAAATAGAATTTTTCAAGTCACAATGAAAAGGCACTAAACTGAAACAGGAAAGACACTGGATCATTAATAAACTACTCCCAGCAAAGAGAAGTCCAGGACCAAATGCCTTCACTGGTGAATTCTACCAAACATCTAAAAAAAGAATTAACACCAATCCTTCTCATACTTTCAAAAAACAGAAGAGGAGGAAATACTTCCAAATTCATGTTATGAGGCTAGCATTACCCTGATACCAGAGACATACAAAGATACTCTGAGAAAAGAAAACTGAAGAGCAATTAATCCTTGATTAACAAAGAGGCAAAAATTCTCAACAAAATACTAGCAAACCAAATTCAATAGCATATTAAAAGTATCATACACCACAACTAAGTGGGATTCATCCCTCATATGCAAGGATGGTTAATATATGCAAATCTCTTAATGTAATATAACACATTAACATAAGTATAAAAACCACATTATAATCTCAATAGAAGCAGGAAAAGCATTTGACAGAATTCAACACCCATTCAGAATTAAAAAAAAAGTCTCAACAGATCAGTTATAGAAGAAATTTACCTTGACATAATCTCATATCTAGAAAACTGTAAAGACTCCACAAAACAATTGTTTGAACTAATAAACTGATTCAGTAAAGTTGTGGGATACAGATTTAACATACAAAAACTGTTGTGTTTATATACAGTAACAATGAACTATTAGAAAAGGAAATAATTCCAATTACAATAGCGTCTAAAAGAATAAAATACTTGAATACAAACTTAAAGTAGGCGAAAGACTTCTAAACTGAAAACTTCAAAACACTGATGAAAAAATTAAAGACACAAATATATAGAAAGGCATCCTATGTTCATGAGTTGGAAAACTTAATATTGTTAAAATGTTCATACTACCCAAAGAGATCTATGGATTCAATGCAATCCCTATCAAAATCCCAATGACATTTTTTACACAAATAAAAAATACAATCCTAAATTCATATGGAACCACAAAAAGAACCCAAAAAGCCAAAGCAATCTTGAGAAACAACAAAGCTGGAGGCATCACATTTCCTGATTTCAATATATATTACAAAGCTATAGTAATAAAAACAATATGCACTGGCATAAAATCAGACATATAGACCAATGGAACAGAATAGATATCGTAGAAATAAAACCATGCATATACAACCAATTGATCTTCAATAAGGATGCCAAGAATACACAATGAGAACATGATAATCTCTTCAAGAAGAAGTGTTGGGAAAACTAGATATACACATGCAAAATAATGAAATTGGTCATTTCTTTATTTTATGTCATACACAAAAATCAACTATAAATGAATTAAATATTTAAACATAAGACCTAAAACTGTAAAATGCCTATGAGAAAAGCTTTATGATATTTGTCTTGGCATTTATTTCTTGGATATGAGACAAAAAGCAGAAGCAACAACAAAAACCAAGATAGACAAGTGGGACTACATCAAACTAAAAAGCTTCTACACAGCAAAGGAAACAGTCCACAGAGTGAAATGACAAACTATGGAATGAGAGAAAATATTTCTAAATCTGATAAGGGTTTAATATCCAAAATACATAACAAACTCTTACAAATAAAAAGCAAACAAAACAAAGCAAAAGAACCAAATAACCCAATTAAAAAATAGGCAAAAGAGTTGAATAGACATTTCTCCACAGAGGACATACATATGGCCAATAAATATATGAAATGATGCTCAATATCCTTAGTTATCAGGAAATGCATATCAAAACCACAGTAAGAAGTAACATCACATCTGTTAGAATGGCTATTATTAAAAAATAAAAACACAACAAATGTTGGCAAGTCTTGTACATTGCTGGTGGGAATGTATATTGGTATGGCCATTATGGAAAAAGTATGGAAGTTCCTTTAAAAACTAAAAATAGAGCTACCATATGATGCAGCAACCCCACTTCTGGGTATATATCCAAAAGAATTGAAATAAGGATCTGAAAGAGATACCTGCACTCCCATGTTCACTGAAACATTATTCATAGTAGCCAAGAGATGGAAACAAGCTAAATTTATACCCACAAATGAACGGATAAAGAAAATGTGGTATATGCATACAAAAGAATACTATTCAACCTTGAATATAAAGGACATCCTGCCACTTGGATTAATATGGATGAAGCTGGAGGACATTATGCTAAAAGGAATAAACTAGTCACAGAAGGATAAATTTTGCATGATTCCACTTAAAGGCAGTATCTAAAATACTCAAACTCAGTGGGAGGTGGAATAAGATGGCCAAATAGAAGATTCCAGTAATCATCCTCCCTGTGGGAACACCAAATTGAACAACTATCCACACAAAAAGCTACCTTCATTAGAACAAAAAAATCAGGTAAGGGATCACAGTACTAGATTTAACTTCATATCACTGAAAGAGGCACTGAAGAAGGTAGGAAAAACAGTCTTCAATTCCCAATGCCACCACTCCTCCATGCCAGGGCAGTGGCAGAGTGGTGCAAAGAGAGAACTTGTGTGCTTGGGGGAGGCAGAGTGCAAGGACTGTGAGACTTTGCATTAGAACTCAGTGCTCTCCTGCCACAGTGAAAAGCGACATGGGGCAGAACTCAGCTGGTGCCCACAGAGGGAATATTTAGACCAGCTCTAGCCAGAAGGCCATCCCAGTACTTGGAACCTGGGTTCCAGAAAGCCTTGCCACTGTGGGCTAAAGTGCTCTGGGGATCTAAATAAACTTGAAAGGCAGTCTAGGTCATAAGGACTGCAATTCCTATGCAAGTACTCCTGCTGTGCTGGGCTCAGAGTTAGTGGACTTGGGGGACATGCAACCTAATGAGACACTAGCTGGGGCAGCCAAGGGAGTGCTTGCACCACCACTCCCTCAACTCCAGGCACACAGCTCACAGCTCTGAAAGAAACTCCTTTCTTCTGCTTGAAGAGAGGAGAGGAAGAGTAAAGAAGACGTTGTCTTGCAACTTGGATACCAGCTCACCCACCTTAGGAGAGAGCACTGAGCCAAGTTGTGAGGCCCCATTACAAGCCCTGGCTCCCAGACAAAAATCTAGACACAACCTGGGCCAGAACAGAACCCACAAGCTTAAAGGGAAGAACCCAGTCCTGGCAAGATGAATCATCTGCTGAATAAACAGCGCTTGGGTCCTGAATGGTGCCCAGGCAACACTCAGTGTGGGTTTTGGGTGATACTCAGAGATGTGCTGGCTTAAGGTGGCGAGTGCTGGCTTAATCCAGCACATTCCCAGCTGGTGTGGCTATGGAGAGAGATTTGTTTTGTTTGAGAAAAGAAGAGGAATGTGTAAAGGGGACTTTGCCTCACAGCATGGCTACCAGTTCAGCCACAGTGAACAAGAGCACCAAGTAAGCTCTTGGGATCCCTGAATCCAGGCCTTGGCTCTTGGATGTCATTTCTAGACTTATATTGGGCTAGAGAAAAGCCCACTATCCTGTAGGGAGAGTCCCAGGCCTGGCAGCATTCACCACAACAGGCTGAATAGCCCTTGGGCCTTGAGCGAACATTGGTGGTGTCTAGGCAGTACTCGCCATGGCTCTGGGATGTTGGTGGCCACAGGAAGCAACTCCTTTGCCTGTGAAAAGAAAAGGGAAAAGTGTATATGACTTTGACTTGTGGCTTGGGTCCCAGCTCAGCCACACTAGAATAGAGCACCAGGTACATTTCTAAGGTTTCTAACTCCAGGGCCTGGCTCCTGGATGACATCTCTGGACCTGCCTGTGGACAGGGGAAACTTGCCATCCTGAAGGGAAAAACACAAACCTGGCTGGCTTCACAACATCCAGATTGTAGAGCCGTAGGGCCTTGAGTAAATATAGGCAGTAATCAGGTAGTGGTTACCGCAGGCCTTAAGTGAGACCCCCTTAACCTATTGGCTTTAGGTTTGATCCAGCACAGTGTCAGTGGTGGTGGCCACAGGGTTGCTTGTGTCAGCCTTCCCTCAGCTCCAGGCAGCTCAGCACAGAGAGACAGATTCCATTTATTTGGGAGAAAGTAAGGGAAGAGAAAAAGAGTCTCTGCTGGTAATCCAGAGAATTCTTCCAGATCTTAACCAAGACAACCAAGTCAGTAGAACCACAGTGTTAGTGGTCTTGGGGTGTCTCCTAATGAAGATATGGCTGCAGTGAACAAAAACTTAGAACACTGAAGTCCCTTCAAATACCCGGAAAGCCTTCCAAGAAGAAAGGCTCCAAACAAGCCCAGACTCTGAAGATTACAAGAAATACTTAACTCTTCAGTGACCACACACCAATGAACATTCACAAACATCCACCTAGGAAAACATGACCTCACCAAACAAACTAAATAAGGCACGAGTGACCAATTCCTGAGTGACAGAGGTATGTGACCTTTCAGACAGATAATTCAAAATAGCTGTGTTGAGGAAACCCAAAGAAATTGAAGATAACACAAAGAAGGAATTTGGAATCCTATCAGATAAATTTAACAAAGAGGTTGAAATAATTAAAAAGAACGAAGCAGAAGCTCTGGAATCCAAAAATGTGATGGACATACAGAAGAATGCATCAGTCTCTTAACTGCATAATTGATCAAACAGAGAAAAGAATTATTGAGCTTTGAGATAGATTATTTGAAAATACACGGTGAGAAGAGACAAAAACAAAAAGAATAAAATGAATAAAACATGCATACAAGACCTAGAAAATAGCCTCAATAAGGGCAAATCTAAGAATTATTGGTCTTAAAGAGGAGGCAGAAAGATAGAGATCAGGATAGACAGCTTGTTCAAAGGGATAATAACAGAGAATGTCCCAAACCTAGAGAAAGATGGCAATATTCAAGTACGAGGAGGTTATAAAACACCAAGCAAATGTAACCTAAATGAGACTACCTTAAGATATCTAATAATCAAATTTCCAAAGGTCACAGATAAAGAAAGGATACTAAACACAGCAAGATAAAAGAAATGAACATGCAAAAACACTCCAATACATCTGTCAGAAGACTTTTCAGTGGAAACTTTACAGGCCAGGAGAGAGTGGCATGACATATTTAAAGTGCTGAAGGAAAAAAAAAACTTTTACCCTGGAATAGCATACCCAGTAATATTATACTTTGAACATGAAAGAAAAATAAAGACTTTCCAGACCAACAAAAGCTGAGGGATTTCAGCAATGCCAGGTCTGTCCTACAAGAAATGCTAAAAGGAGTTCATCAGTCTGAAAGAAAAGAGTGTTAATGAGTAATAAGAAATCACCTGAAGGTACAAAATTCACTGGTAGTGGTAAATACACAGAAAAGCACAGAATATCATAGCACTGTAATTATGAATGTGTAAACTACTCATATCTTAAATAGAAAGACTAAAAGATAAATTGATCAAAAATAATAACTACAACTTTTCAACACATAAGACAGTACATTAGGACATAAATAGAAATGACAAAAAGTTAAAATGGGGACACAAAGCTAAAGTGTAGTTTTCATTAGTTTTCTTTTTTGCTTATTAGTTTGTTTATGCAATTAGTATTAGGCTGCCTTCAGTTTAAAGTAATGGATTACAAGATATTCTTTGTAAGCCTCATGTTAACCTCAAATCAAAAAACAACTACAGATTTACAAAAAATAAAAAGCAAGAAACTAAATCATGCTACCACAGGCAATCACTTCCACTACAAGGAATACAGGAAGGGAGGAAAGAAGGACGAGAAGACCACAAAACAACCAGAAAACAAAAAACAAAATGGCAGGAGTAAATCCTTACATATCAATAATGACACTGAATGTAAATGGACTTAACTCTCTAATCAAAAGACATAGAATGGCTGAATGGTTTTAAAAAAAACAATAACAAGACCCAACAATCTGCTGCTTATAAGAATCAAACTGCACCCATAAAGACACACATAGACTGAAAATAAAGGGATGAAAAAATATGTTCCATGCAAATAGAAACCGAAAAAGAGCAAGAGTAAGTATACTTATTTGAGACAAAATAGATTTTAAGACAAAAACTATAAAAAGAAACAAAGAACGTTTCTTAATGATAAAAGTGTCAATTCAGAAAGAGGTTATAACAATTATATGTGCAACCAACACTACAGCACCCAGATACATAAAGCAAATATTATTATTGCTAAGAGAGAGATACACCCCAATAAAATAATAGATGGAGACCTCCCATTTTAGCATGAGACAGATCATCCGTACAAAAAATCAACAAAGAAACATTGTACTTAATCTGCACTATAGACCAAATGAACCTAATAGATATTTACAGAACACTTCATCCAAAAGCTACAGAAGACACATTCTTCTCCTTAGCACATGAATTATTCTCCAAGATAGGACAATATAAGTCTTAAGAAATTCAAAAAAAATTATATCAAGTATCTTTTCTGACCACAATAGAATAAAACTAGAAATTAATTACAAAAAGAATTTTGGAAACTATACAAACACACAGAAATGAAACAACATGCTTCTGAATGATCAGTGGGGCAACAAAGAAATGAAGAAGGAAACTGAAAAATTTATTGAAACAAATGAAAATGGAAACACGATATACCAAAATCTGTGAGATATAGCCAAAGCAGTACTAAAAGGAAATTGTATAGCTATAAGCACCTACATCAAAAAAGTAGAAAAACTTTAAATAAACAACCTAATGATGCATCTTAAAGAACTACTAAAGCAAAAACAAACCAAACCTGAAAATAGTAGAAAAAATAATAATAAAGATCAGAGCAGAAATAAGTGAAATTTAAACAAAAATGCAATAAAAAGATTGATGAAATAAAAAGTTGGTTTTTAAAACAGATTTTAAAAATAGACCAACTTTTAACCAGACTAATCAAGATAAAAAGAGAGAAGACACAAGTAAATAAAATTATAGAGATGAAAAAGAAGACATCACTACTAATTCCACAGAAATTAAAATAATCATTAGAGACTACTATGGGCAACCATATACCAATAAACTGGAAAACCTAGAAGAAATTGATAAATTCCTACACATGTACAACCTACGAAGATTGAACCATGAAGAAATTCAAAAGCTGAACAAACCAATAACAAGTAACGAGACTCAAGCTGTAATAAAGTCTCCAGTAACAAAAATCCTGGGACCCTATGGCTTCACTGCTGAACTTTACCAAACATTTAAAGAATTAATACCAATCCTATTCAAGCTATTCTGAAAAATAGAGGAAGAGGAGGGAATGAATACTTCTGAACTCATTCTATGAAACCAGTATTACCATGATGCAAAAACCAAAGACATATCAAAAAAGTAAGGGTACAAGTTAATAAGTTAATATTCCTAATGAAAATTGATGCAAAAATCCTCAAAATTCTAGTAAACTGAATTCAACAACACATTAAAAATATTATTCTTCATGAACCAAGTGAGGTTATCCCAGAATGTAATTATGGTTCAACATATAAAAATCAATCGATGTGATACATCATACTAACAGAATGTAGGACAAAAAACATATGATCATTTCAATTGATGCTGAACAGGCATTTGATAAAGTTCAACAATCCTTCATGATAAAAACCCTCAAAAAACTGGTAATAGAAGGAATGTGCCACAACACAGTAAAAGTCACACATGACAGACTCACAGCTAGTATCATAATGAATGGGGAAATACTGAAAGCCTTTCCTTTAAGATATGGAACATGACAAGGATGCCCACTTTCATGAGTATCATTCAACATAGTACTGGAAGTCCTACTTAGACCAATCAGACAAAATAAATAAAGGGCATCTGAATTTAAAAGGAAGAAGTCAAATTATCCTTGTTTGCAGATGCTATGATCTTATATTTGGAAAACTATAAGAACTGGTAAACAAATTCAGTAACATTACGGGATACGAAATCAGTAGCATTTCTATAAGCCAACAGTGAACAATCTGAAAAAGAAATTTTTTAAAATCCCGTTTAAAATATCCACACATAAAATTAAGTACCTAGGAATTAATGAACTAAATTAAAGGTCTCTATAATTAAAACTATAAAACACTGATGAAATAGATTGAATAGGACAAAACAATGAAAAGATAATCCATGCTTGTTAGGATTGCTACAAGCAGCAATCCTAAAATTTATACAGAACCACAAAAGATGCAGAATAGCTAAAGCCATCTTAAGCAAAAAGAACAAAACTGGAGGAATCACATTACCTGACTTCAAATTATACTACAGAGCTACAGTAAACAAAGCAGCATGGTCTTGGCATTAAAATAGACACATAAATTAATGGAACAGAATAGAGAACCAATTCTGAATGAATATCCAGAAACAAATCCACACACCTACACTGAATTCATTTTCAACAAAGGTGCCAAGAACATACACTGGAGTAAAGACAGTCTCTTCAATAAATGGTGCTGGGAAAACTGGATTTGTATATGCAGAGAATGAAACTAGATCCCTATTCCTCACCATATACAAAAAGCAAATCCAAATAGATTAACTACTCAAATATAAGACTTCAAGCTAATAAACTACTAATAGAAAACATTGGGGGAAACTCTCCAGTACATTTATCTGGGCAAAGATTTCTTAAGTAATACCCCAGAAGCACAGGACCAAAGAAAAAATGGACAAATAGGATCATATCAAGTTAAACAGCTTATGCACAGCAAAGGAAATAATCAACAAAGTGTACAGACAATTCACAAAATGGGAGAATATATTTGCAAACTACCCATCTGACAAGGGATTAATAACCAGAATATATACAGAGCTCAAACAATAGGAAAAAATCTAGTAATTCAATTTAAAAATGGGTCAAATATCTGAGTAGACATTTCTCAATAGAAGGCATACAAATTGCAAACAGGTGTATAAAAACATGCTCAACATAATTGATAATCAGAGAAATGCAAATCAAAACTATAGTGAGGTATTATCTCACCCCAGAAAAAATGGATTTTATCCAAAAGACAGGCAATAACAAATGCTGGTGAGTATGTGGAGGAAACAGAACTCTTGTACACTGTTGGTGGGAATGTAAATTAGTACAACCACTATAAAGAACACTTTGGAGGTTCCTCAAAAAACTAAAAGTAGAGCTACCATATAATCTAGCAATCTCACTGCTATATATATACCCCAAAGAAAGGAATTCAGTATATTGAAGAGGTATCTGCATTCCCATGTTTGCTGCAGTACTGCTCACAATAGCCAAGATTTGGAAGCAACCTAAGTGTCCATCAACAAATGAATAGATAAAGAAAATGTGGTACATATACACAATGGAGTACTACTCAGCCATAGAAAAGAATGGCATCCTGTCATTTGCAACAACATGGATGGAACTGGAGGTCATTATGTTAAGTGAAATAAGCCAGGCACAGAAACAAACTTTCCATGCTCTCACTTATTTGTTGGAGCTAAAAATTAAAACAATTGAACTCATGAAAATAGAGACCAGAATGATGGTTACTAGAGTCTGGGACAGGTAGTGGGAGGTTGGGGGAAATGGGGATAGTGAATGGGTACAAAAAATACAGTTCAATAGAATGAAAAAGAGCTGGTGTCTGGTAGCACAGCAGTGTGACTACAGTCAACAATAACTTATTGCACATTTAGAAATAACTAAAAGAATATAATTGGAGTGTCACACAAAGAAATGATAAATGCTTGAGATGAGAGATACTCCATTTTCCCTGAGATGTGTTTATTACACATTGTATGCCTGTATTAAACTATCTCCTGTATCCCACAAATATATACATCTACTATGTACCCATAAATATTAAATACAAAAAAATACAATAAAATTGTCAAACTCATAGAATGAAAGAGTAAAGTGGTGATTCTTAGGGGCTGGGGGACTGGGAAATGTGCAGTTGTTTTTAATTTGTATAAAGTTTCAGTACTCAAGATGATTAATATCTACAAATATGCTGTACAATATTGTGCCTTTAGTTAACAATACTGCATTGTACAACTAAATATTTGTTGAAAGGGTTGATCTCATGTTAAGTGTTCTTACCACGATTAATAAAATAAAATAAAATGAAATAAAATAAAATAAAATAAGCTGAGTGAACCCTAAAGAGGATAAACACAAAAAAGTCCAAGCCCAGACATATTATATTCAAACTGCTTATAACTAAATACAGAGAAAAATTTGAAACTGCAATTTTAAAAATGCCATTTACAATAGCTCCTAAAACTGAAAATGTTTGGTACAAACCTAACAAAGCATGCACAGAATGTATATACTGAAAATGACAAAACACTGATGAAACATATCCAAGAAGACCTAAACAAATGGACATACTGTGTTCATGAATAGAAGAATCATTATAGTAATGATGTCAATTCTCCCTCAAAGAGATCTATAGATTAACACAATATCAACCAAAATCCCAGCAGAAATTTGTATATAGACATGCTAATATTCAAATTTACATGTAAAGACACAAGAACTAGAATAGCTCATTACATTTTGACAAAAACAAAGAGGAATCACACTACTTAATTTTAGAAGTTACTATAAAGCTAAAGTAATCAAGTCAGAGCAGTGTTTGTAAAGGGATAGATACACAAGTCCACAAGTCAATGGAACCTAAACAATAGGACAGATATGCACCTACATGAATATGGCCATTTGATATTTTTACAAAGATACACAGGCAATTCAGTGGAGAAAAGGTTGTCTTTTGAACAAATATTGCTGGAACCTTTGAAAATGAACCTTAACCTGAATTTCACACCTTATATAAAGACCAACTCAAAATAATTAATATATGTAAATGCAAAAACTAAAATGTTAAACTTTTAGGGGAAAAAAAACCTTAAAACTGACACCAAAGCACAACACATGCAAGAAAAAAAAAATGACAAATTTGACTTCATCAAATTTGAAAACATTTTTTCTGCCCAAGGCACTGTAAAGTGAATGAAAAGACCCAGTAATGATGTACAGAAAATATTTTCAAATCACGTATCTGATAAAGGACTAGTATCCAGAAAATGTATTTTTTTTAAACTCTGAAAACTCAATAGTAAGGAAACAACCACATTAAAAGATGGGCAAAGAACTTAAATGGACGCTTCATCAGAGAAGTTACGGCAAATAAGGACACAAACAGGTGTTAATTATTAGCTATTAGACAAATTATTAGCTGTCAGACAATGAGATATCACTATACAACTATCTGATCAGCTGAAATAAAGAATAATGACAATACCAAATGTTGTCAATGATAAAATTATTACAGGGTTCAGGTGACGACGGCCTGAACTCCTTAATAAACTTTTTCATCTCATATTTCACCCACTGATGATCCTTGCCTGGATCTGTTACATCATTGGAGGTTGTAAAATAGTGATTTTCTACATTTACTTCTGGATTTTTTCCTACATTTACTAACTGTATTTCTTGCAAAAAGAACTTTCTCTTATCAAACTAGGGCTTTCTTGTTGTTCTGAAAGTTTGTACAAAAAAAGCAGAATAAGATACTGATTTTTTTTTTCTTTTGACTGCTAATTGTCAGAATAAGGAGTCAATGTTCTATTTACCTTAAATGGTATTCAATGAGGTTTCATTCTTTGGGAGTAGGGGGATCCCTCTCTATCGGTATCATTAATCAACTCATGAATTTTTATATAGTCAATGTGTTTTCATCATTCAAAGTTACTATTATTGTTTGAAGCTCCTATGTACTTTTTTTTTTTTTTGTATTTTTAATAGAGACGGGGTTTCACCGTGTTAGCCAGGATGGTCTCGATCTCCTGACCTCGTGATCCGCCCGCCTCGGCCTCCCAAAGTGCTGGGATTACAGGCGTGAGCCACCGCACCTGGCCTCCTGTGTACTTTTGACATTAGACTTTGATGGTACCCCTGCTCTCTGACACAATATGTCACAATCTCATCTTATTTGTTTTTTTTTATCTCAAACTTGGAATTAGCTATTCCCCCCAAGGAGTCCTGGTACCTTTTACGTGGGATAGTATTTACGGACTTTTTGAGTGTCATTTTGTATTTTTTATTAGACTATTTTAAAGGAAAAATTGTACTCCCAATGTTCATTTAAATTATGGTAGTTTTATTATAATGTTACTTAAATATGAACAACAGTAGAGCCATATATATATGAATGCTTTATTTGGGTACACATGGACATAAAGATGGATACAGACACTGAGGACTACTGGAGAGGAGAGAGAAGGAGGGCGGGCAAGTGCTAAAAAACTACCTGTTGGGTACTATGTTCACTACCTGAGTGATGGGATCATTCATACACCAAACTTCAGCATCACTCAATATACCCAGTTAACAAGCCTCCACATGTATCTCCTGAATGTAAAACAAAAGTTGAAATTTTAAAATAAAATAGAAAAAAATGAATGCTTTGGGCTTATGATGCCTATATAATTATAAATACAATACTATTTTCCAAAATAGCATAAACAGCCAGCTCTAACAGTTTTTTTTCCCATTTATTAGTCAGTTTCTTCCTTTAAATAAGTATTGGCCAAATATCTAAAGGACATATGTTGAATGGTCTCCCCATTGTTCCCTAGCCAGGATTACCAAAACTCTCTTTTTGTACTTGTCTGGGTGTTATCCTAGACTTCTAGTGGAAACTGATAGCAATGTTTAAGCAGGGGAGTAAGATAATCAGTTTTGTTTGTTTTGTTATGCAAGTGAATTCAGTGATGATGTAGACTCTACACTGTAAAAGATATCAAGTGGAGCAGAGAAATAAGTCAGGAGACTATTACTACTGTCCCATTGGTGAGGGCCTCAACTGAAGTGAAAATGGAATGGGGAGAATCGATTTGATATATTTTTCTGATTTTGTCATTTTTGATTTGGGAATTTGGTGAGTAAATGGACACAGAGGAACTAGTTAGCAAGGGGTTGCAATAATCCAGTTAAGAAGGCATGTGAACCTGAACAAGGTAATGATGTTAGGTAAAAGGGGGATTAATTCCACGGATATTAAAGAGGAAGAATTCTCAGGATATTTTCATTGACTAGATGTTTGGAGAAAGAGGGAAGAGCAGGATGGCCTTCAGGTTTTAAAAATTATCTCCCACAGTGTACCATTCACAAAGGTGATTGATGTAAAAACCCCACATCTTTCTCAGCTTTCTTCTTTGAGTGTCCTGTTGGAATTGCCATGGGACAAGACCATAAGTAGTATTTGCCAGACTATCCAACATAGAAAAATGTCATGTATGAGGACACACTCATAAAAATATCTTTCTTCTTCTAGAATGGAAAATAAAAGCTTAAGTAAATGAAACCTACAGAGGTGGGCAAACTATGGCCCACAAGCCAAATCTGGACTGCTGCCTGTTATTCTATGGCCTATGACTAAGAGTGATTTTTACATTTTTAATTGTTGAAAAAATTCAAAGAAGAATAATTTTTCACTGCGCATTAAGATGAAATAAAATTCAAATGTCAGCGTTCATAAATAAAGTTCTACTGGAACACAGCCATGCTCACTTATCTCTCCCTGGAACTCAAAAGTAAGGAAAACAAATATTTTACCATCATTACACATGCACATACACACACACATCACATGCGCGCACACGAGCATGCTCCTTCTCTGTGCCCACTGTGTACGGGCTTTGCAGAAATTGCATTTCTTGCAGAGAAACTTTGAACCTCACAATGGAAGGTAATTTACCAATCTCTTATCTATCTATTTATCATACTTCACGTTTTAGTAATAACTGAATTTCACCCTTTTCAAGCTTGGAAATTATATCTCCTCATTCTGCTGAACGTGTCTATGGCCACTTTGGGGCTACAATGGCAGAGCAGAGTAGTTGTGACAGAGACGCTATAGCCCTCAAAAAATATTTTGCTTACTACTATTTATTTACAAAAATAAAATATTTACTATCCGGCCCTTCATAGGGAAAGTTTGCCGACTCCTGGTCTACTATGAGCCAGGTACTGTGCTAGGACTTTCACATCTTCTATAATTCTATCAAAAACTTTAGTGGTATATTAGGTTATAGAGACCTGAAGAATGTATCTAGAATCTAGAATAATAACATGCTTTATTTGTAAATATTCAAATGATTTGCAAAGATAAAGAGTTACTTTCTTTAGGATCCTATCCTTTCCCTGCTTAAACACTGTTATTGATTCCAAATGCTTATAGAATTAAAGCTAAAATAGGCAAAACATAAGACTCTTTGCTTACGCAATCTAGTCCCCACCTACCTTTCATCACATCTCATCACTCTTTTCCCCATCCCTCACCCAATGAATTTCTCACTGTCCTCCCACTTTTTGCAGACAGAAGCTGAAAGTGACACATTCATGAGATATTTAGTGTCCACTTCATTGAGGTCCCTTGTTCACCTTTTCCTTTCTATACCTTTCTTCACTCTCCTTCACTTTCTTCATCGAATTGTCTACCATTACAAAATAGAAAAGAAATGAAGGGAGGGAGGAAGGGAAACTGCAACACACACAGGTTTTATTGGGGTGAGGCATACCTCTTATTACTCTGGTCAGTCTAATTTGTCAAATCCTCGAGGGTAGGGCCGATACATTTTTTTTTTAACGTCGTCCAACATCTATTAGAGGTTCAGTCATTGATTATCCTCCTCCCTTTCTTCGTTTCCCTTGGGAAACCTGGAAAACAGAAAATCTTCCCACAGAAACTCCTCAGGGGCGCGCCGAGATCTGGGCTTGCGCACTTGGACTTGGCCGGCGCTCAGCCCCCGCCTCAAGCCGGCGGGGTCTCGCACTAACCTAGCGCGGGCGCCTCGATCTCCCGCGCGCGCGCGTGCGCGAGACCCCCCTTTGGCCCCCTACCCTGCAGCAAGGGTAGCGTGACGTAATGCAACCTCAGCATGTCAGCAGCAATATAAAGGAGAATGAGGCGGCGCGCCTCCCAGACGCAGAGTAGATTGTGATTGGCTCGGGCTGCGGAACCTCGGAAACCCGAATGTGAGGACCTTAAGGGATCCACAGCTGCCGCCCCCCGCAGCCATCCAGAGCGCGGTCACAGTCCGACTGGCGGCACGGAGGCGGCGGCGGCGGCGGCGGCGGCAGCGGCGGCGGCAGCGGCGGCGGCAGCTGTAGCTGCAGCAGCAGGTAAGGAGACTCCTGACGAGAAACTAGAGGGACGTGGATCCACCGCGTTCAGTGTTTCTTGTCTGAGGGGAGGAGAGGCTCACACCCAGCGTGTAGCGTAGGGCGAAGGGAACAATGGAAGTGGCGTCCAGTCCCTGAGCTTTCCTCCCGCCTCGGGCGGAGTTTTCCTCTTCAGCCGCAGCCGGGGGCTGGAGGAATTGAGGGAAGTAAGGGTTTTCCCCCTTAGCCAACCTCCTCTTTCCCTAGGCCAGAGCCCCAGGGAGCTAGAGCCGTCGTTGAGACCGTCGGTGGTTTAGGGTGACGGTAAAATGGCGGAAAACAAAACGGTGAAGTGAAGAATGCAGCGTCCCCCTGGCAGTTTCTCTCAGCTCTCCCTCCACCCCATATTCTTTTCACTGGCGCCCCAGTCGCCTCGCCCCCGCCCCCTGACCGAGCTAATAGTAACCTTTGGAATGCGCGAGGGATGGCGGCGTGTGCGAGGAAGTGGCACCGAATCGGCATTTTAGGGGATTGGGAGCCGTCAGAGCCTGGGAGTTGGGGGGAGGGGGGGGGCGTGTGCGACAACTGTCGCCTACACTAAAACACCACCATTTTGGTTCCCAACCGTCTCCCACGTAGCGGGGCAGAGGAAGCTGGAGGAGGCTGAGGGGCTGGGCAGCACGGCGTGGGTAGCAGCGGTGGCGACCGCTGCACCAAGTGAGAGGAGGGAGGAGGGGAAAGGGTATTCTTGTCTCATCGGTCTCTTCCTTTCTGCTGCGAAGGTTCTCTTGTTAGGTTTAAGATCTAGTCAGATGGGTAATACCTCAGAGGGCACGTGTGTGCATTCTGCTCGAAATGATTGAAACTTGGCATGGTCGTGGGAAAAGGAGACTTATGCGGGAAGAGGGCTGCGTCCAAAGCTGCAATACTGCTACTTGCCAGGGCTCCTTTGTCTCCCATCTCTGCAAATACTACTTTCGCATTCTCTTGTTCTGCCGCCTTACCATTTCTCATCTATCCGTCACCCTATTGACATCACTAAGAAGCTAGGTCCTGAATGAGCTATGTTAGAAGAGACAGATTTTCTTTTTGTGATTTCTACTCCCCATGCATTAATGGAAAGATGTTTACTTGAGACGTACTTGGTGGGTTATCTCCATTCAATAAGGATGTGAGATACACTTAGAGAAGACCAAGAAGCCTAGCTATCTCTAATGGTTATTAAATACTTAACACACTGCTGTTTTCATACCTCATTTATTATTGATTTTATTGAAACTTCCTATGTGGGGAAAGATACTCCGGTTTATTTATTTGGTATTCACACAGTGTAATACTTTTATAATAGTTGCACTATGTGTTGTAATTTTTACACTTCATTGAGTGCTAGTGCAGACTTTTCAGTATGGATTTGGCAAGGATAAAGCTTGCCCTTGATTCTCTTTCACTTTCTAAAATAAGGTGTTGTTTGTGATTTTTAAGATGTGCTTTAGAGAAGATTTTGGTTTAATCAAGTGGTAGCATTCTAAGTATAATAACGTTGCTAATGTAGTGAGTAGTTGTTTTTGTTGGAATCCGTTGGGTTGCTTTTAACATTACTACAGATTTGAGCATATGAACCCTTCCCAGCCTCACTATGCAAGTTCAGGTGTAAAGAAAAATATTAAGTTGTGTAAGAAACTTAGTTTAAAATATTTTAAAGTATCTGATTTTGAATGTATTTTTATAATAGGTAAAGAGAGCGTTTTCCCAAAGAAAATAACATAGCACAGAAGGAAAAATAAAAAGAAATTGCTGCAGATTTTACTTTATGTGAGAAAATCTACAATTTCTTCGAGACACTCATATAAAGGTGACTAACAAATTACTTATTGTTTTATCTTATTTAACAGTTAAATAAAATTAAGTTTTTAAAAACATTTTCAGACATTTGTAGTTGTTCTATTAGTTATGTGGTAAAGAAAGTAATTACTCTAATTAAAATCCAAATAGTACACTGTTTTAAATGTTAAGAACATGTCCCTTTCAGATTTATTTTGTTAACACACAGGTAGTTTATTGTGAACTCTCTTGGCCTTGGACCTCATTTTGCATAATAGCAAAGCAGAAAACAATGGCATTTGAAAAAAGATACACAACTAAGAATTTCTAAAATTGTGAAGTTTGCTCATACATAAAGTAATTCTGTCTGAATCGTTTGTTATACAGAAATGTCACCTACTTCTGTAGCATATTTATGTATATACCTGAAATGGTGATAGGGGTTCCTCTGAGACTCTCCTGCCTCCTGAATACCAATTTAGCCATCCTCCTTTATTTAAGAATATATTAAGTTGTATTACGTGTCACCTTTCTGAAACTTTCATTAAGGTTGCAGCTTTATCTGTTGTGCAATATGGTACAATTTATTAAGCAGTCCTACGTGAAAAGGAGATAAGTGCCTTATAAAATTGACAGGTTTTTGTTGATTTACTTAGAATCTTATGTTTGAAGAGAAAATGCACATATATGTGTCTAAGAAATACATTGAGTGACAGCATCTGACTTTATGTTCCATACTATCAAATGGTCGTAAATATAGGATAAGTCATTTGAAATGAAATAGATTGAGCCCTTGCTTTCAAAACCACCTTGAAGCTAGCATAATTTTATTAATCACTAATAAAAAGTCAGTTGTACAATTACAAGTAAATGAAATGCTGAGATAAATAATTTGCTAAATGTTTGTATGTGATCGATCTTATTTTTACCATATTTAGGAAGCAGTCATGTTTCATGAGTCCTCAAAACTGAGACAAGAGAATGTAGTAGAGTGAGGCCAGAAGTCCTTACTGGTTCAAAGAACTCCGGGGAAACTGGGATAGAACATTTTACATTATAAGTAGAACCCTGGGAGCCAGAGGTGAATACAAGTTTATCTGCAGAGCTCCGCTGCAGGGCTGATCTGGGTCTGGAAGAAATGGATGAGAGCCAGTGGATGAAATTCACTAATACTAGACATCTGAGTCCTCTAGTAATGTATAAATATCCTAACTATTGTTTGTTGTCATCTCGTTCTTCTTTTATAACCTATGTTTTAACTGGAACTTTTAGCACTGCAGTTTTGTTGTTTTGCTTTCTTCTACCACTTCCCTATGGCTCATCAGCTTGACTGTGCCTTTGTCTCCATTATTTTTGGTTTACTTCCACTTGGCACTTCTTTTATTTATGGTTGTCACATAAAGCATCTAACCATGGTTTTTCTTTGTTTTGCTTTCTTTTGTAATAAGCTTTCCACACTTGGTTGAAAGGCATATTGTCAATTGCATTTTTTTCTCAAAACAACTAACTTTGGACTAAATATATTAAACTATTTTAAAAGCCATTTCTTTTGCAGATATTGGTGAATGAACTTTGCTAAGTATGGATTCAGGCGGTGGAAGTCTTGGATTGCACACGCCAGACTCTAGAATGGCCCATACCATGATTATGCAAGATTTTGGTAAAGCATTTTCTTTGTTGTATTTTTTTCTTTTTTAGAAGTAAGGGGATAATAAAAATCAAAAATAAGTTGAGGAAGGGGAGAATTACAATGAAAACTTGTTCTTTTACTAGGAAAATATATTTGTAGAGCTTATTCTCATAAAGCTGTGTGTCAGTGGTCTACTTAACATCACTTTTACAATTTAGGGGAAGGTTGTGTTAGGGACACTTGAAATATGGTGGTAATATGTTACTGGAAATGAAAAACTCAATTTACATAAATAACTGCATAATTATATCACATTCTGTTCTGATAGTATATATCAGCTCTCACGTGTAGGAAATGTTAAACTGACTTTCTAAAACACATTTTAAGTTGCATTGTTAATAAAATTGGAAAAAGAAGTGCTTACATCAACTAAAAAAAAGATGCTTATATAGTGATATGCAGAATCATGCACTAGGTGATTATTATTGTGATGCTATTTCCTCAGAAAGTTGTTACCATTAGAATACATTTTTCTTTCTCTTTTTTTTTTTTAAAAAAAAAAAAGAGGCCGGGCTTCGTGGCTCATGCCTGTAATCCCAGCACTTTGGGAGGCAAAGGCGGGCGGATCACGAGGTCAAGAGATTGAAATCATTCTGGCCAGCATGGTGAAACCCCGTCTCTACTAAAAGTACAAAAGATTAGCTGAGCGTGGTGGAGCACGCCTGTAGTCCCAGCTACTCAGGAGGCTGAGGCAGGAGAATTGCTTGAGCCCATGAGGCGGAGGTTGCAACGAGCTGAGCTGAGATGGTGCCACTGCACTCCAGCCTGGTGACAGAATGAGACTCAGTCTCAAAAAAAAAAAAAAAAAAAAAAAAAGACTCCTTACTCTTGTGGCCAGGTTTGTAAGTAGCCTCTTGACAGTAGTCATTTTGATGAGGATGCCAAGACTCCATTGACATTCAACAAATAAACTGAATTTGGCCAGGGATGATCTGAATTACAGAGGAGATAGAGCTATTTGAAGTATAAAAGGCAGGGATGAGATCAAAAGAATTGAAGATAAGATTGGAGTGAAAGCAGAAAAGACAAATGGTGAACTGCGATAAAAGAACAGGGAACGAGGTAATATGGAATTGTTGAAGCTGAAATTAGTGATGAGGGAATAGAACTGTGATACTTTGCTAAGTTAAGAAAATGCTACTATTGTTCGTTGATAATATGGTTGAATGTATCATTTGGTCCCCTGTAGTAAATCCCACAGTAACGGAAGTCAGTAAAGCCGTATTCTAGTCATGGCAGTGCTGTTAACTAGCTGTGTAAACTTGGATAAATTACTGAATTCCCTTTTATAATGATTGCACTAGATAACATTTAAGGTCCTCTCCAGTTATAGAATTCTTTGACGTTTCTTTCTGATGAATAAAGTTGAGTAGTACAATATTGGATGTGAGTTAATTGATGAAATATAAAGAAATCGTGGATGTATTCTTCTGAAAGCTAAGTGAATTGTGTTGACTATGGATGATTTAGAAATGACTTTGGGTGAAAAAAACTCATCAATAAATTCTAGAGGAAGGATAATAGGGCCAAAGAGTAAGAGATTAAAGATATTCCCATGAATTCTTTAGTAGAGAGTTGATAGTTTTTAGAATAATGGAACACTGGAATTTCAGTATGGTAAATAAATTTTGGTTGAAATGTCAACTTTAATTTTTTACCTTTTAAAATAAGATATTTTTAAAATGGAAGTATTATAGTAGTTTCTCCATTTAATACAAAATATTACCTCTCCTATAGCATTTGATAAAGTGCCAAAACTCACTTCATTCCTGAAGAGGTTGGCTATTAGCTAGTAAAGTGTGATTCCTTTCAAAAGATGAAAAAAAAATCTGATTGGTGCTGGTGAATATTTACATAATGTTCCTTTTAACCTTCCTTTCCATTGTTTATCCTCAATGTCTTTAGAATTAATTACTCCTTTATTACATCTACTACTTTTTTTCTTTTAGTTGTTAGGGGAATAGAATATGCATATTGAAATATTTAACATATATGTTTTTTCTTCTTTACTTTTTATTCAGATACATTCACATACCATTCCATTCATCCATTTTTATAAAGTATACAATTCAATGGTTTTTAGCATATTCACAAAATTGTATAACCATCACTAGTACCTAGTTTTAGAACATTTTCATATCCTAAAAAAAGACACCTCATACCCATTAGCAGTCATTCCCCATTCTGCCTCTCCCCACCAGCCCTAGGCAGCCACTAATCTTTGTCTGTGGATTTAATTATTCTGAACATTTTATATAAGTGGAATCATATATGGTCGTTGTGTCTGGCTTCTTTCACTTAGCATGTTTTTAAGTGTCATCCATGTTATAGCATGTATCAGTACATACTTCATTCGTTTTCACTGCCAATGATATTCCATTGTATGAGTACACCACATTTGGTTTATTTGTTTATCAGTTGATAGATATTTGGGTTGTTGAAATATTTTTAATCCACTAGAAATATTATGTGTTTGACAAAATAAGCTTTGCATCTTAGATTGAAGTATGAGTGCCTTTGGAGGCGTGTGACAGTATGCCAAGGCATACCTGAAACCACAGAATAAATAGCAGAGCCTCTTGGAATTTTTTTTTCATTTGAATTGAGGAGAATATATATACACACATATACCTATACACAATTATAGCTGCATAAATATGTAGAAAGTAAGATTTTCGTTCACTATCCCCTCCCTTTTTAGAAATAATAAAATTGAAAGGTTTGTGAACTACTTCTAATTTTTAATTAGTATTTTCATATTATCATTTAAAGCCCTCTCTAAAATGAATTTAATTGAGTAAACTGATTTGTATCAGAAAAATGTTTAAAGGCACTTATTGTTGTTTTTGTTGTTATATACCTGTTTATGATTTAACTGGTAGTATTTTGAGTTAGTGGTTTTTTCAAATGATGCATTCTTTTTAAATTTCATTTTTATGCTCTCTTAAATCAAGGTATATAAATCAATGGCAGTTAAATTACTTTTGCATTTTTGGTGAGACTGTTTTTCTGAATTTGCTATTAGATCAAGAGTAACTAATATGGGTAATGCTCACTCATTTGTGCCTAGGGATAATGTTGACTTGAAATATGTTAAGTTTCCATTTGTCCTTGGTAAATTCTGAACTCGTAAAAGGCAGTAACTCACTCTATTTTTGATATGCAGTTCCCAGCACAATTTCATTTATAGGCATTTTCATTTTTGTATGATATTTTGTGAAATGCAAAGGTTGTCAAACAGACCTAAACCTAAAAAGACCTTTATTAGGGGACTTCTGGAAATTTTAGCCCTGATAACTTAGATTTCTTCTGAAAGCAGCCCCCCCATGCTTATTTTACCTCCCTGTTAAAATTTCTAAATTCTAAAATTTCATTAGAAATTAGATACATTCTCTTTAAATTCTGTTAGCGTCAAAACTTAGATATTTGCAGCCCCATAAATTATTGACATTTGTGAAACTTAGAGTTTAACATACACAGAGCTAACCAAATAAGAACACTGTGGCACAAGATCTCCAAATTCTGTAAGGTTCTTGGTTGATACAATACAGAAAATCTGAAACATTAATTTAATGCATAATTCATTGGACCAATTTATTTTGAAGAATATTTGAGACTTAGAAATTTACAACTTTGTTCAATAACCTTGCTGGTGTCTCAGTATAATAGCTGTCCTTGAAGTATGAGATTGAATTTAATAGTTGTTTAAGATTTTAATGCTACAAAAAGTCTGTGTTGTTTTAGGATATAAATAGCAAAACACCCTTAGATAGTGGCCCAAGACAGACCTGACACGTAACAGATTTTATGCTGTCATTCTGGTGATGTTCCAAGTATTCATATTTAAATGGAATAACTTTAATAAAATGGGAAATACTGGAAATCAGGACATGTTTCTTACTGTTGCCTGATTATTTAATTTTATACTTTTTAAATGATTTTTTCTTATTGTTTATAATTTTCTAAGCTAGTAAGATGAATTATTAACGCAATTTAATGCTGTTTACGAAATGATTTAAAATTTAAATGAGCTACCACGTGATAGGCCATTTTACTGTTTATCTCAAGCTGTTCCTCTAGCTGTGCCTCACTTAGTTAATCTTACACCTCTCTTTAAAAAACAGTATCTAGGGTAAATATACTCTAACCTCTTCCCAGGCAAGTAGAAAAAAGGCAGTCTGGAGTCAAACAGTGAGTTCAGTTTCCAGCTAGGACCTTGTGGCAACCTTATATAACATCTGTAAACCATAGTTCCTCCTTATTTAAAATGAGGATAATCGCACTCACCTTATACAGTTGTTCTGAGGATTAAATGAGATGATACTTGTATTAGCAGGTTGCTTGTTGGATAGTCAGTGCTTAATAAATATAGCTAATCTATAGCTAAGTGACTTTGTTTAGAAAGTCAGTGGAATCTAACAGATGAACTGGTAAGAAGAACAAGCAAAATTTAATAAGAGATATCTTGGATCTTGGTCTAAGTAATCTGCTGCTACCCTGTGAGGGACTTACCAATTCTTGGTCTAGGATCCTTGAGAGCATTTGGTTCAGGATAAACAAACATATTTGGATTTATTTATTTAGTTTTTTAGATCTGATCTATTTTGACTTGTAAGTTCCTGCTAGAGGCTAAGTGAACTAGCACTGTTCCTTCAGTCTATCCTCTTAGAATCCACCCAACCAGGTTGATCTGAAACCAAGTCCCCACTAGCATTATTCTACCCTTCTTTCCTTCCCTATGGTCTACTTTCAAGAACCAGACTAATCTTCAGCAGTGTTCTAAAATAAATGGAATTTCCCATATTTTAAATCTTTGGTTTGTGAAAAGATTTTTGTGAATTAGTAATTTTATTGTTTAGATATATAGAATTCCAGTACAGTTAATTTTACAGGATTAATATTTTAATTTTTTCCTTGCTAAAAAACCACATTTCTAGTCTGATTAAATGCTAAATTTGAACCCCCACCTCCTCCCCATTTCTGAAATGCCCAGTGGAGTAACAACTGAATTAAAAATACTTGTTTTATACATACTCCCTTCGTGTACCAGACTTCCAGGATTGTGGCTGTGTCCTTTTGGGGTAATTTAGTGGTTTGGGTGAGAGTTTGAGCGGTGAGAAGGATTTAAAAGGGTTGAAAGTAAAGTATCCCAAAAACGCTGTTGAAAGCTCAGCTTTCCCTTTTCACCTTGTTCTTTGATGTGTTAGTGTCCATTGGTCTCCATCCTAACTTGGTAACTAACTTCCATAATGAATTGATTAAAAATAATGAACACTATGTGACAAATAACACTCTTTCAGGTACTACTTTATAGAAAGTGATCAAAAGGTTTTGTACTGGATGATTTCTTGTAGATAATTTATTATAACCAGATCCACAAGCCCTCTTAATTTGTTTTTGTACCACCTCAGGGAGCAGAACTTAGCAGAATTCCTCATGAAGGGATTTTACACTTGTACAATATTTACAGGGCAGGTAGGAGTTGGTGTTTACCATGCCGCTCAAGAAAAACATTAAAGCTTTATTCCTACAGATTTACTATTATCAAACCAAATATTAGTCTAAGATGAGTACAGAGTTTTTCCCCCTAAATCAGGTGTTGAAAGATGCCTTCCAATTTTGGATACAGTAATTATTATAAGTTAAAGAAGTTCAGACACTTTCATGTTCATGATGTATATTTTATAATAGAATATTTTATTAACTCACTTAACATATTAGTATCCTTTTACGTTTTTGTGCCTTTTTATTTTAATTTTTTGAAACAATTATAGACTCACAAGCAATAGAGCAAAGGAGTACATACAGTCCATGTACCCTTTACTTACCTTCCTGTGATGGTGGCATCTTACATAACTGTAGTATAATACAAAAACCAGGAAATTGACATTCACACATTACTGTTAACTAGACTACAGACCTAATTCAGTTTTCACCATTTTTAACATATATTCGTGTGTGTGTATGTGAATGTATATATTCTATGCAGTTTTATCCCACATATAGATTTGTGTAAATACCACCACAATGAAGATGCAGAGCTGTTCTATCACTATATATATGCTATCCCTGTGTGTTCACAGACACACACACACACACACACACACACACACACACACAGACACCCTTGGCAACCAATAATCTGTTCTCCATCTCTATAGTTTTATTGTTTTGAGATAATATAAATTACTCCATTTATACATTATACAGTATCATAACCTTTGGTGATTGTCTTTTTTTCCCTCAGCAAAATTTTCTGGAGGAAATTCAGGTTGTTGAATATATCAACAGTGTGTTCATTTTTATTGCTGGGTAGTATTCCATAGTAGGGATGTGCCAGAGTTGGTGGAACCAACCATTCACCTGCTAAAGGACACTTGGGTTGTGTCTAATTTTTTGCTACTATGAGTAATAGCTACTA
Source organism: Homo sapiens (assembly GCF_000001405.40). Taxonomy (NCBI): domain Eukaryota; kingdom Metazoa; phylum Chordata; class Mammalia; order Primates; family Hominidae; genus Homo; species Homo sapiens. The sequence goes on from NC_000023.11 coordinate 85,254,103, forward strand.
TGAGCTGTTAGGAATATTTCTGTACAGTGTTTGGTATAAACATATATTTTCATTTTTCTGGGGAAAAATGCCCGAGATTGCAATGGTTGGATTGTATAGTAAGTGCATATTTAGTTTTGTAAGAAATCGCCAAACTACGGGTGGATCACGAGGTCAGGAGATCGAGACCATCCTGGCGAACACGGTGAAACCCCATCTCTACTAAAAATACAAAAAATTAGGCCGGGCGCGGTGGCTCACGCCTGTAATCCCAGCACTTTGGGAGGCCGAGGCGGGTGGATCATGAGGTCAGGAGATCGAGACCATCCTGGCTAACAAGGTGAAACCCCGTCTCTACTAAAAAAAATACAAAAAATTAGCCGGGCGCGGTGGCGGGCGCCTGTAGTCCCAGCTACTCGGGAGGCTGAGGCAGGAGAATGGCGTGAACCCGGGAAGCGGAGCTTGCAGTGAGCCGAGATTGCGCCACTGCAGTCCGCAGTCCGGCCTGGGCGACAGAGCGAGACTCCGTCTCAAAAAAAAAAAAAAAAAAAAAAAAAAAAAAAAAAAAAAATTAGCCGGGCGCAGTGGCGGGCGCCTGTAGTCCCAGCTACTCAGGAGGCTGAGGCAGAAGAATGGCGTGAACCCGGGAGGTGGAGTTTGCAGTGAGCCGAGATCGCGCCACCGCACTCCAGCCCGGGCGATAGAGCGAGACTCCGTCTCAAAAAAAAAAAAAAAAAAGAAAAAGAAAAAAAGAAATCGCCAAACTATTTTCGAGAGTGGCTGCTACTATTTTACGTTTGCACCAATAACGTTTGAGAAATCCAGTTTCTCCACATCCTCACCAGCCTATGGTGCTATCACTGTTTTTTGTGTTAACTGTTTTAATTGGAATGTAGTGATATCTCATTATGGCTTTTATGTTTTACTTGAAAATAAAGTATATTATTTTAAGGTCTTCATGTAGATTTTACTAACATCGTTTTCACCCAACTCTAACCCAATTCCTGGTTGTTGGTGATTTTAATTGCAGTTAAATTGTCAATGATTTTAAAAAATGATTTATTTGGCCAAGATTACTTAATATTTAAGAAATATTTATAGCATTTGATTTATTAAATACAGTACTCTAAATTAATAAAATAACTTTACCTTTTTTGGATAATTGTTTGTATTATAGTGGCTGGAATGGCTGGTACTGCACATATCGATGGAGACCATATTGTTGTTTCAGTTCCTGAAGCTGTTTTAGTTTCTGATGTTGTCACAGATGATGGGATAACTCTTGATCATGGCCTTGCAGCTGAAGTTGTCCATGGACCTGATATCATCACAGAGACTGATGTAGTAACAGAAGGTGTGATTGTTCCTGAAGCGGTACTTGAAGCTGATGTTGCCATTGAAGAGGATTTAGAGGAAGATGATGGTGATCACATCTTGACTTCTGAACTAATTACAGAAACCGTTAGGGTACCAGAGCAGGTTTTCGTGGCTGACCTTGTTACTGGTCCTAATGGACACTTAGAACATGTGGTCCAAGATTGTGTTTCAGGAGTCGACTCTCCCACAATGGTATCAGAGGAGGTTCTTGTAACTAATTCAGATACAGAAACTGTGATTCAAGCAGCTGGAGGTGTTCCTGGTTCTACAGTTACTATAAAAACCGAAGATGATGATGATGATGATGTCAAGAGCACTTCTGAAGACTACTTAATGATATCTTGTAAGTGAAACATAAAGCCCATAATTACTCAGGAGATTGATTTATATAATCTGGAAAAGTTTTCTGGGATGAGGGATATATTCAATAAAAGTTATAGGGGAATCTTTTTGAAAAATAATTTTTTGAAGCAGTGTCATTAAGATGCTGTTTTGAGTTTACTGATGTTTTTAATTTATTCAATGAAAATTCATACCTGAAATGAAGTAAAATAATGCAGTTTATTAGTATCTTAAAATAGAGGTATAGATTTGGCAACAACAAGAACATTAACTGATACAAAATTTTAATGATAAATATATATATTTCAACATGGGAACTTTCTTATGTAGCCACTGCTTTTTTTTAATATGACAGGCACTGAAATTGTCAATTAAGTTTTTCTTAGGAACTTAAGCAGAATATGTTAAGAAATGTATTGATTTTTAAATTAAATACTTGAAAAGTAAATCATAAACTCAGATAATGTCCTACAGTTCTCCCTGTGTTTATATTGCTTATGCCTAAATATGTGTGTGTATATTTTATGCAAAGCTATTTAACATGTTTATTTTAGACTGCTTTGCAAGATTCTTAAAACATTCTATCCGAAGCGGGAAGATAGAAATATTTTGTTCTCATTTTAAATGATGGGTTTATGAGAGCAGCAACAAAAATAAAAAATATCTTGATAAGTTATTGATGGAGCTTAAAGAAGTAGGTATATTAGTTATTAAATTTGAAGGGATCATGCTACAAGTAGTTAAGATTAGACAATTTTTTTTGACTTATCCAGGGAAGATTTTTATTCTTTTTAAAATACAAAAATGGTTGACTGGGAAGTTTATCACCAGGTAGAGTGTGTGTGTGTATGTGTGTATAAAGTGATCGTATGTATATGTGTATTAGTGAATTTAAAACTGAAAATAAACTAAATTTATTTAATTTGTGAATTTAATTGTAAAGTTTAGCATAACTTTTTTCTTCTATAAGCACTTTTGAAGGTGAATTTTTACATTGTTTTTAAGAAAATAATGTAAGCCACTAAAAGACTGCAAATATTGTTACCTATTTTTAAATAGATATAGATTACTAAAGCAACTCCATATTTACATCTTAACGTGGCATTTTTTAAAAGATCTATAGTATGGTTATCATGTAAAATGATGTGGCAAAAGTTGGTAGTCTACACTAAAATTCAGTATGTCTTCAAAAGAGTATTCATTAATTTAAACTGATATTAAAGTAGTGCAAAATTTAGATGTCATGTATTGTGAACAGTCATACCTTGTGTTATCTTCTATGATTTAATTCTGCAAAAGTTTTTTAAAAAAGTTTCTGGAATATTCTAAGTTAGAATAATTATTTTGATAACTACCTCATATATCAAATACAAGGACTCCTTTGAGGAATATAATTTTATTTTTTGTTGATTTGTTTGGTTTCAACTTTTATTTTAGGATTTGTACGGGTATGAATGATCCCATCTCCTAGGTACTGAGCATAGTACCCAACAGTTAGTTTTTTGGTCCTCGCCCCACTCCCTCCCTCCCACCTCTAGTAATCCCCAATGTCTGTTGTTGCCATCTTTATGTCCATGAGGACCCCATGTTTAGACTTCTCTTATAAGTGAGAACATGCAGTATTTGGTTTTCTGTTCTTGCATTAATTTGCTTAGAATAATGACCCACAGCAGCATCCATATTACTACAAAGGACGTGATTTCTTCTTTTCTTACGGCTGTGTAGTATTCTGTGGTGTATATGTACCACATTTCCTTTATCCAGTCCACTGTTGATGGGCACCTAGGTTGATTCCCTGTCTTTGCTATTGTAAATAATGCTGTGATGAACACACAACTGTGTGTGTCTTCATGGTAGAATGATTGTTTTCCATTGGATGTATACCCAGAGTGGGACTGCTGAGTTGAATGGTAGTTCTGTTTTAAATTCTCTGATAAATTTCCAAACTGCTTTCCACAGTGGCTGAACTAATTTACATCCCACCAACAGTGTTTAAGTGTCCCCTTTTCTCCACAGCCTCACCAACATCTGTTGTTTTTTTGACATTTTAGTAATGGCCATTCTGGCCATAATAAAAAAATAGTAGATGTTGGCATGGATGCAGTGAAAAGGGAACACTTTTACACTGTTGGTGGGAATGTAAACTAGTACAACCACTATGGAAAACAGTGTGGAGATCCCTTAAGGAACTAAAACTAGATCTACTGTTTGATCCAGCAATCCCACTACTAGGTATCTACCCAGAGGAAAATAAGTCATTATACAAAAAAGATACTTTCACATGCATGTTCATAGCAGCACAATTTGCAATTGCAAAAAAATATGGAACCAGCCGGAATGCCCATCAATCAACGAGTGGATAAAGAAAATGTGGTACACTATGGAATACTACTCAGCCATAAAAAGGAATGAAATAATGGCATTGCAGCAACCTAGATGGAATTGGAGACTGTTATTCTAAGTGAAGTAACTCAGGAACAGAAAACCAAATATATGTTTTCTCTCATATATGGGAGCTAAGCTATGAGGATGCAAAGCATAAGAATGATACATTAGACTTTGGGGACTCGGGAGAAAGGGTTGTGGGTGGTGAAGGATACAAGAGTAAACATTGGGTACAGTGTACGCTGCTCAGGTTATGGGTGCACTAAAATCTCATAAATCACCGCTAAAGAACTTATTCATGTAACCAAACACTACCTATTCCCCAAAAAGCTATTGAAATAAAAACATTTTAAAAAATAGCTTGTCAGTATGAACAAGCAAAATAATAATAATAATAATAATAATGATAATGGTCATTCTCACTGGTGTGAGGTGATGTCTCTGTGGTTTTGATTTGCATTTCTCTGATGATTAGTGATGTGGAACATTTTTTTCCTATGTTTGTTGACCACTTGTATGTTTTCTTTTGAGAAGTGTCTGTTCATGCCTTTTCCCCGTTTTTATTGGAGTTACTTGTTTTCTGCTTGCTGATTTAAGTTCTTTGTAGATTCTGGATATTATACCTTTGTCCGATGCATAGTTTGTGAATATTTTTCTCCCATTCTGTAGGTTGTCTGTTTACTCCGTTGATAGTTTCTTTTGCTGTGCAGAAGCTCTTTAGTTTAATTAGTTCTGACTTGTCAATTTTTGCTTTTGTTGCAATTGGTTTTGGGGACTTAGTCATAAATTCTTTCCCGAGGCCAATGTCCAGAATAGTGTTTACTAGGTTTTCTTCTAGGATTCTTATGTCTAGAGGTTTTATCTTTAAACTTTGGTCCATCTTGGCTAAATTTTGTATGGTGAAACATAGGGGTCCAGTTTCATTCTTCTGGATATGGCTTCCCAGCTATCCCAGCACCATTTATTGAATAGGGAGTCCTTTCCCATTGCTTACTTCTGTTGATTTTGCCAAAGATTAGATGGTTGTAGTTATGTGGCTTTGTTTATGGGTTCTCTTTTCTGTTCCTTTGGTCTATGTGTTTGTTTTTGTACTAGTAACATGCTGTTTATGTTACTGTAGCCTTGTAGTGTAGTTTCAAGTTGGATAATTGATGTCTCTGGCTTTGTTCTTTTTGCTTAGGGTTATTTTGGCTATTTCTTTCTTGGTTCCTTATGAATTTTAGTGTAGTTTTTTCCAATTCTGTGAAAATGACGTTAGTAGTTTGATAGGAATAGCATTGAATCTGTAGATTGCTTTGGGCAGTATGTCCATTTTAATGATATTGATTCTTCCAATCCTTGAGCATGGAATGTTTTTCCATTTGTTTGTGTCATCTGTGATTTCATTTATTAGTGTTTTATAGTACTCCTCGTAGAGGTTTTTCACCTCCTTGGTTAAATATATTCCTGGGTATTTTTTTGAGGCTGTTGTACATGTAATTGCATTCTTGATTTGGCTCTCAGCTTGGATGTTGTTGGTGTGTAGAAATGCTACTGATTTTTGTACATTGATTTTGTATCCTGAAGCCTTAATAAAATTGTTTATCAGTTCTAATAGCCTTTGGCAGAGTCCTTAGGGTTTTCTAAGTATAGAATCATATCATCAGCAAAGAGAGATAGTTTGACTTATTTTACTGTTTGGATGTCTTTTATTTCTTTCTCTTGCCTGATTGCTCTGGTTAGGATTTCCAGTACTATGCTGAATAGGAGTGATGAGAGTAGGCATCCTTGTCTTATTCCAGTTCTCAAGAAGAATGCTTCCAGTTTTTGCTCATTCAGTTCGATATTGGCTTTGGGTTTGTCATAAATGGCTGTTATTATTTTGAGATATGTTCCTTTGATGCCTAGTTTCTTGAGGGTTTTTATCATGAAGGGCTAATACATTCTGATTTTATCAAAAGCTTTTCCCATATCTACTGCAATGATCACATGGTTTTTGCTTGTAATTCTGTTTATGTGGTGAATCACATTTATTGATATGCATATGTTGAACCACCCTTTCATCCTTGGAATGAAACCTAGTTGATCATGGTGTTTTAACTTTTTGATGTGCTGTTGAATTTAGTTTACTAGTATTTTCTTGAGGATTCTTGCTTAAGGAACATAATTTTGTATAAAGCAAAATATCTTGTTAACATCATGATGGGAGATCTCATTCAAACCTCCCTAATTTCAGGGGTAAAAAAAGTTAACACCTTTATAATTTTAAAAACTATAATGACTTTTTTGAGATATAATTTACACATCCTTTTATTTACCCATCTGAAGTGTGCAAATAAGTGGTTTTTCATATATTCACAGGGTTGTACAACCATCACCACAATCAATTTTAGAACTTTTTCATCACCACAAAAAGAAACCCTATACCCTTTAGCTGTTAGCCCCCCCCCCATCCACTCTGAGGCAACCATGCCTGTATAGATTTGCCTATCCTGGATATTTCATATAAATGGAGTTATACAATATGTGGCATTTTATGTCTGGCTTTTTTTACTTCACATAATGTTTTCAAGGGTCATTCATGTCATAGCATATATCAGTACATTTGACCCTTGAACAATGCAGGGGTTAAGGGTGCTGAACCCCGCCCCCCCTGCTGACATACACACAGTTGAAAAGCCATATGTAACTTTCAGCTTACCAAAAACATAACTACTAACAGCCTACTGTTGACCAGAAGTCTTACCAATAACAGTCAATTAACATGTTTTGTATGTTATATGTATCATATTCTGTATTCTTACAATAAAGTAAACTGGAGGAAAGAAAATGTTAAAATCATAAGGAAAATAAAATATATTTACTATTCATTAAGTGGAAGTGGGTCATCATAAAGGTCCTCATCCTTATTGTCCTCACATTGAGTAGGCTGAAGAAGGAGAGGAAGAAGGGTTGGTCATGCTGTCTCAGAGGTAGCAGAGCAGAAGAAAATTCATGGATAAGTGGACCTGCACAATTCAAACCTATGTTATTCAAGGGTCAACTGTACTTCATTCAGTATTACTAATAACATTCCATTATATGGGTATTATCACATTTTGTTTATCCATTCATCCATCAGTTAATGGACATTTAGGTTGTTTCCACTTTTTGGCTATTATGAATAATGCTCCATGAACATTTATGTACAAGTTTTTATGTGAGTGTATATTTTTAGTTTTCTTGGGTATATACCTGGGAGTGGCATAACTCTGAAATCTAAAGGTGACTATCTTGTTGTTCACTTTTTCACTCTATTGTGAAATACAGATTCTTTGTATATTGCCTAATCCCATCACTGTGGTATATCAGTATACTGTATAGTTTTTATACCATACTCACCATATAATTTTGGTAGATGTAAGTAACATGCAACAGGTAAAATAAAAAGCCTACCTAACTTTTAAAAAGGAATGTTATATTGTACATTTGACTAAAATGAAATTTTAATTAAATTGTGTGAGTGGGCCATAAAATAATATTGAATGTTACCAAACTTTACAGTGTTGGCAAACAATGCACTTCACTTTCTTATATTATATTTAGTGCCAGAAGAATTCTGTGGTGGTTATTTTATTACTTATTGCTGGATTGAGAAACAACACTATTGGACTTGAATATTGCATACCTTACAACAAGCAAAACATTTAAGCTTGAATTTAAGGTATTTTGAGTATTATCTGCATTTAGAAGGGCCTTTGGAGATTTATTTCTAAAGTCAGTTGATTGCCTATTAAGTCTTTGTTAATTTCGTACTTTCCATAACGAAGGATATAGAATAAATCTTGGTCAAGTTGATGGTTTACCTCTTAAAACTGCGTGCCAATATCTTTAATAATTTTATCATTTTCTGTGAACTTAAAATACAGAATAAGTTCAGTTAGTACATTTCAAAATTGCTCATTCTGAGGAATCTAAGTAAAAATTAATGGATGCATTAAATTTAAAAGTATGAACCTTAAGAAAAGGTAGAAATGGAATCAGAGAGAATAGTATTAGTAATTTCATACTTATTGCTAAAATTATGGTACAAAACTATTAAGAAGTGGTGAAAAAAATGTGACTTTCATTTCATGAACTTTAATTTTGTGAATTATAGTTTTAACTCAGCTTATCCCAGAAGGAACTGTGATCGCTTTAAACTATTCATGTATAATAAAGTAGAATTTATAAAATGAGAGTATTTTTATTATTTTATTAATTTACCATAAGTTATTTCAGCCTAAAAGTTTGTATTTTGGACACTTTTTGAAGTTTTTTTATATTCTGTTTTTAATTAATGAGAATATAGTTTTTTTCTAAAAACTTACTCATGATTTTTTCTATGTCATTTTTATTCAACATTATTTTATAAGAGAAGCTATTAAGCCAGTAATATCAAATACTTAATCTTTTTTTATTTTAATTTGTACCATTGTCAAAAATGTTGCCAAAAGTTTAGTAATATAATTAGGAGCTCTGATGGAATGAAAATATGTAGACTTTATTTTGATCATTTGGATGCTATCTTTCATAGACAGTAAGCTATTAAAATTTGGAAGTAGGATAGAATCATTTGTATTTAATCACAAAGTTAAAGTAGCTCTGCAATGTAAAAATAATTTTTAATATGTGTTGTTTTCCACTATTTTGAAAGGCCTAAGGAATATTTTTCAAGTTGTATGTATCAAGTTTGAAACTAAAGTAAGGAAAATCTAGACTTTGACCCATTTAGATCTTGCTAAAATTGTTTTTAGGAGTGCTGAATTAATAGCTTTTTAATGTCACTTTATTCTGTTTTTAATGGTTCTAGAATTGTTAGATGTATGTAGGGGCTTCAAAATTTGATGTTTCATATTTAGTACTGTTACATATATATAATAAGGAGGAGTAGATTTTCAATTTAGATTACATTTGTGTTTTTATAGGAACAGCATTAAAAGAATAAATTATAGGCATATAATATTTAGGAGGCATATATTGTTTGAATATTATTTATGGTCAGAGGACAGAGTTTATTAATCTATTCATTGCATAGTTCATGCATAGTATTCATGTGAACTTAAATGTTATCCTAAAAGACTATACAGTGGAGAATCAAAAATTTTAAGTGTATTTAAAATGTAAGCAATAGGTCCAAATACTGTTGCCTTATCTTTATATATGATTTTCTTTTAATAAGGAAAAAGAGGGGGAAATACCCATTTATTTCCCTTACATATAATTTTGAAATAAAGCATACATTGCAAAATCTAGATATATACAAAATTCATGGCTTGAAGTTGTCTTCCATTGACCCTGCAGAAATTAGAGTATTTACTAAGATTTTATTTCCATGATGTATGAAAACCTGTTTTTATAGTCACTTAGGTGTTCTCTGTGTTTCTTTTTTTAATCCTAGATCTTGTATGCTAATTTGTTTTAGAAACAACCACTATTTAATTTGGGAACTGTAGTTTATGTGAACTCATTTTATGAGTAATATATGTTTTATGTTCTTAATTTTTCTGTTATTAAATTTAGTGTTAGGATTTACCTTAAAATATTGAAAGTGATAGAATTTGAAGCCGTTTTAATTAAAGCTATATGGTTAAGTATTTTGTATCTATTAATTGAAATCTGTAAATAGATTTTTATATAATTGCGATTATGTAATATAACTGATCTTGTGTACTGTTTTTCCATGAACCTTGATGCTTTTTTAAATTTTAAAAATAATTTTATTGTTGCAGATTTATGTTGCACAGGTACAGGTTTATTACATGGATGTAATATTGTGTAGTGGTGGGGTTTGGGCTTCTAGTGTACCTATCACCTGAATAGTGAACATTGTATCCAATAGATAAATTTTCAAACCTCATAATCTCCTCTCCCCCCACCTTTTTGAAGTCCCTAATGTCTATTATTCATGAATCATAACACTTTTAATGGCTTCATAATAGGTTATTAAGTGAATACAGTGGGTAGGTGGTTAACATTATTTCACGTTACACTTCAGCTTAACACCCACTAAATAGTGGTAATTTTTCTTGTTTTGTTGTTTTTTGTCAATGGTATTTTTTGACTGAAATAATTTTGTTTATATTTTATAGTGGATGATGTTGGAGAAAAATTAGAGCATATGGGGAATACACCATTAAAAATTGGCAGTGATGGTTCACAAGAAGATGCTAAAGAAGATGGGTTTGGTTCTGAAGTTATAAAAGTGTATATATTTAAAGCGGAGGCTGAAGATGATGTTGAAATAGGTACAAACACTAATTTTAATTTATTGCTCCAATAGGAGTTATAATTTATTATATTTTCTGGGGACTAGTCTAAAAATGTTCTCAAAGCATGGGTTTTTTTAATACGTTTTCTTTGGGAATAGTCTACTTTTAAAAATTGTATATGAATATAAAGCAGGAATGCAGAATATGTCATTCTTTGATTCTTTCAAGCATGAGTAGAATACTGCAGCAGAAAATATCAAAACAAATGATTGGAGAGGATTTGGTTTAGATTAAGAAACTATAATGAGTGTTTACAAGCATGGATTCTAGAGGCAGGCTGCTTGGGTTTTAAATAGGTCCTGTCACTTAGCTGAGTGACCTTTGATAAATTACTTAACCCCCTTCTGTCTGTTTCCTCATCCATAAAATTCTCATAATAATAAAAGCTACCTATAGGGCTGTTGTGAGGGTTAAAGGGGTAAATATGTATAAAAGACTTATATACTGCTTGGCATATAAGCTTGATGTAAGGATTAACAATTGTCATTTCTCAGTGATAGCTGAAAATTTAAAGTATAATTTATATGAAAATGTTCTTGGCACTTTGAAATTTATTTTGGAATTTATTTTTTTTCTAAGAAATATTTCTATATATTCTTCTTATTAATTTAGGTGGTTATTCCATGATACTTCTCTATTTTAATGCGTGTTTTAATTTTTAAGGTGGAACAGAAATTGTCACAGAGAGTGAGTACACCAGTGGACATTCAGTAGCTGGAGTGCTTGACCAGAGCCGAATGCAGCGGGAGAAGATGGTTTACATGGCAGTTAAAGATTCTTCTCAAGAAGAAGATGATATCAGTAAGAAAATAAGGGCACTGTAGTGACTTATCAGTAGCCATCATGCATTATTTTTAAAAAATCTCAGAGATACAAGCACTGTATAGGAACAAAGTTCAATAAAATAAGCCTGATCCTTTGACCCTTTGCTGTAAATAATTTAAAAGTGAAGGGTCCTTTTGACCATTCATTTGTACATGTATTGTTCAAATCACCAAACATTAAATAATATATCTTAGTATACTATACTAGAAATACAGAGATGAACAACATACAGCTCCTGACATCAGTGAAGCTCAAAAATATGTAATTACTGAGTACCTACTTTCTGTGCGTTACTGAATATGTTGCAAGATACTATCTCATTTAATTCTTACAACTCATATCTGAGGTAGGTGGTATTTTTCCTGTCTTATGGAAGGAAAAAAAAAGATTCAGGGAAAATAATTTATCCAAGATCATTCCAATATTAAGTGTGAAGGGCAGGATTTTAATGGTTATCTAACTCCACTGCCAATGTTCTTTCCACATGGCAGTGGGCACTGTTGGCTTCTCTCTGGATTTAGCAATTGAAGGGCTGATGGTTTGTTCTCCTGTCACTAAAGGGTTATCTTATGTAAGTATTCTTCCAAGCCAAGCTGCCAGGAGTTTGATTTCCTATGCTGTTGATGGTCTCCAAGCAGTTGCTGCTTAAGGTTTTGTGGGGCTAAGTACCACAGGACGATCAAACCTCCTCAGGTTTCCTTTCCTGCCATACCGCAGGTTTCCTTATGAAGACATTTTGCTCTCTGCCTACTTTCTCCTCACCTCAGTATAGGAATGCAGCCCTTTCCTAAGGCTATTCCTGTCTTCTTACTATGCTGAGAAAAACACAATATTGCCTTGCCCTAGAAGGCTAAGAGCCTCCATTTCACTGCATTAACTTGACAATATTGGGCTTTACCTGTGCTGCACTCTGATACCTACTCCAAGTTTCCTTCCCTAGAAGTTGTAGGGTGCTGAATTCCACCCCCAAACAGCTGAAAATATCAAAACAAATGAGTGGAGAAGATTCTGATGGATAGGAAAAGAGTTTAATCAAATAATTTCTATTTGATCTCTAAATTCTTTATTTTTTTATTTATTGGTAAGGAAAGGGGCACAGTAGGAAATGGAAGATTGAGGTTTAAGTTAACTTATGCCAGAATTCTATGGGAATGTGGGAAACTTAGACCAGTGTCTCTTTTTGGTTAATAGAGAGAAGACAAACTTGGGAGAAGAGGGATACTTTTTTCCCATGTTTTTCCCCACATTTCTTCTGTAGTCATCCAGGATCCCAGTATGTGAATCAAAGGAAAAGCAAAAATTCAAGACAATTTTCTATTTAACAAGTTAAATGTAAACAGATTATTTTATATAAAGTATATTGTGGCTCTCTAGGTTTAAATATTTTTTTTTTCTTACCGCAATATTGTTTTGTTCAATGAAGCTCATTTAATGCTTTCTCTCCTCAGTAGAATCTCTTAAAATCTGGCCTATTGAAGAGTGTCCACATATTCTTGATCACTAGCATTATATACATATATAATTTTTATTTTTATTTTAAATTTTTTTCAATTACAAGTATTTTTGGTGATTTTTATTACATGTATAGTACTGCATTTCATTTATAATACAGTATACGAGATAGTATGGACCACTTTCTAGTATTATTTCTATGAGAAATATTTTCTGAGTCCCAAAAGACTGTCAGGCAAATAAATGTATAATGCCTGATAGAATGTAAGATCATTCAGTATATTTCAAGCGCACATGTTTTTATAAAATTTTTAAAAGCCATTTCCATAGAACTTGGTTCTAAGAGGAGAATAAGAGTTTTGGTAAATGATTGTCTCCTAGTGGCACTAGCCTCCAAAAGTGCCTAATATAAATTGAAATTAAATTTATAAATTTTTAAATTAACCAAACTGAAATTTGAAAGTTGAAAGATTTACATTGTTTGGAATTTTTACCCACTTATTAAATATTTGGGGTTATAAACAAGCAATTATTTCTAAAATTTAGGTTGCGCTGAAATAGCAGATGAAGTTTACATGGAAGTCATTGTAGGGGAAGAGGAAGGAACTTCTCTCCCTGAGATTCAGCTTGAGGACTCTGATGTTAATAAAACAGTTGTCCCTGTTGTCTGGGCTGCGGCATATGGTAGGATACTGGCATTTTTTCACCTGATAAGTACATAATATGTATTTACTCAGCCTTTAGGCCATTAAATAAGCTTTGTGAATGCCACCATGAATTGGCTAATATAATAAAATGTTTTACACTGTGGACTGATTCATCTCTAGTTACTTTAGATGATTTTTCTACCACATACCTTGTACTATTTAAAATGAACCTTGCTTAATGCATTATGTTTTTCAGTATGATCTATTTTAAATCCTACCTGTATAAGTGAGTGCCATAAAAAATTTTATTTTTCTAAAATAGGAATATCCTTTGAAAATCGATCCTTCCTCTTTTGGAAAAACTTATTTCATTTATTAACTCTACAGATGATAAAGTTTTGGGGTTTTGAAAAAGAAACAGAAACCCAGGTATGCTCTTTTAGAAAGCATATAATGAAAGGTAAATTTATCAACTTATTTTTCCCTTTCAGTCTTATTTTATTTCATTCCTATGTAACGTACAAGATGGTCCAGGTATACTCTTTACTTTGAAAAATTTTGATGTTCAAATGCATTAATTTATCTAAACTTGGTTCTTCCAAAGGTTCATTCATTCAGTTATTTATTGAGCATCTTCAAAGTTAGGGGTACACTGCAGAAATATCTACCCAGTTTTCATTTAAAAAGTAAAATTGTTCTAGATGTTAACAATTCCAAGGATGCTGAACAGCAGCCCTTATTTTCAGTATGTGACATTATCTAACCTATAGGAGTGGAAGAACACAACAATTTTTTTTAACCCAAGGAATGGTGGGCAAAGTAAGATTTTGTAGATTAAGATGTGATCCACTAGTAGTCATTATAATTAGCATATCAGTTTGTAATTGGTCTTTTTTTTTTTTTTTTTTTTTTTAGGAGATGAAAGAAGAGTTTCCCGAAGGTATGAAGATTGTCAAGCATCAGGTAAGAGAGCATTGTATATGAGATGTGAGTTAAAGTTCTGGCTTTATTTTATTTTACTGCTTGGTAAGTAACAAGTTTGTGTCTACAGACACATTTGTTGGACTCTTACTTGCTTAGTCATACCTAATCTAGTTAGTTAGGAGTTTCTTCTTTGAGGAATTAATTTATGTGTGGACATAATGTGTGTTAATCTGTAAATGCAGTTCCATTTAGATTTCCCTCAAACTTTAAGCATCAGGCAGTTTATCAAATGGACCATAACAGGTTGCTATGGAAAAAATGAAATAAGAAATTATTTGGACAGAAAAGTAAAAATTATTCATGATATCAACCCCTTGTTAATGTTCTTTTTGGGGCAGAACTGTTTTCTTAATTTCTATGGCAACCAGTGCATTTATATATAACTGTTATATAAAACCCATGTGTCAGCTTAATTTTTTTTAGTTTTAATACACTCTATATGGTGTTGTTCTCTAGTTGATCTTCTTGTTAAGTTTTCTTAAGCAAGGAGATATTTTCTTATGATAATGTGTCATTGTTCTGTTTCTACCCTTGGGAAGTATTTGACTCTCTAAACTTAGGTGTTGATTTCGAGAAATTGATGAGAAGTATAGATCACAGCATGTAAGTTAACCTGACAGTTTTGTAGGTCTACATTTTTTAGCTAAATTGCATAAAACCACAATGGATTTTTGATAACTAGGATTTTATTAAGTACTTTTTAATGTATGCACTGATCACACTGAAATTGCAATAAATTGCCTACCATATGTTAACCCGTAAAATCAATCTTAATATGTAGTACTCTTTATATCAAGTACACTATTCTGAAGCATATCTGCAAGAGATCTGTTTCGTTTTTTATGCATTACACTTAGTCACCATAACTATAATGGTTCAGTAATATGTCTACATTTCTTTTTCAATTAATTTCATCAGCCTTCATTGGTAAAAAAAAATTGGTCTGATGCCAAGATTTTGTTTCAAATTCAGTTTCTTTTCTTTCTTTTTTTTCTTTTTCTTTCTTTCTTTCTTTTTTCTTTTTTTTTTTCAAGAGACAGGGTCTTCTTGCTCTGTTACCGAGACTGGTGTGCAGTAGCACAATCATAGCTCACTGCAACCTTGAACTCCTGGGCTCAAGCAATCCTCCCATCTCAGGCTCCTGAGTAGCTGGGACTACAGGTGCATGCCACCATGCCTGACCAATTTGTTTTTTGTAGAGACAGGATCTTATTATGTTGCCTAGGGTGGACTGAAACTCCTGACCTCAAGCAGTCCTGCCTCAGCCTCCCAAAGTGCTGGGATTACAGGTGTGGGCCATCATGCCCACCCCAAATCCACTTTCTTATATTACATTCATCTTATCAGTTTATTCCTGATAAAATAGAGATATTTTAAATTTAATTGATGATCAAATTGAGATATTTTAAAGTTAATTTCACATGATATCCTATTCAAAGTATTTACAAATACATGTCTTTACTTGTGAGTGAGAGAGAACAAGAGTGAGAGAGAGAAAGAGAATCATAAGATGGATATACTTTGTGAAATTTACTACCAGAGTGGTAACTTGGTGTCATGTCATCTGTAGTAACTCATTCAACAGAACCAAAAAAGTATAAATGTATGTGATTTAATGATGTTTCAATTTTTTTTTCCAGGAAATACTTTGGACTCAGCATTAGAAAGCAGAAGTAGTACAGCAGCACAGTACCTTCAAATTTGTGACGGCATTAATACAAATAAAGTACTTAAACAAAAAGCCAAAAAGAGGAGAAGGGGAGAAACCAGGCAGTGGCAAACAGGTAAATACTTTGCTTTATGAATATTATAATTATTTGAGATGTGGAAGTATTTTTTGTCACCAAAGAAAAATATCGATGGTTTACTTGGCAGTTCTACTCTCCATGTACCTGTTTGTGTATGCTATAGATAATTGTTTTTTTTTTTTTTTACTTTGTGTGACTGGTACTTAATAAAACTATGCTTGTTTGCTCTTTATTCCAAAGATACTTTTACAGAGAATTTTCAGGTTGGTTTAACAATAAAGGGTACCTGTTTTTGGTATTCAAAGTATATATGATATTGCATTTTGGCATGTGAGTGGTTCATAGTAGAGTGCTGCTCATTACTTTTTAGTGAGCTACTTTGCCATAAATTGCTTTTATTATGTATTTTTTATATTACAGGATTTCATTCAACTAGTATTGTTTTCACATAGTGAATGCCAACTAGTTTTGGCACCTTTGTTATAAAATCCTTTAAAACAGTCTGACCAAATGTCACAACTTTCTCTTTTCTTTATCTAGCTGTTATAATAGGTCCTGATGGACAGCCCCTCACAGTGTACCCTTGCCATATTTGCACAAAAAAGTTTAAATCCAGGGGATTCTTAAAAAGACACATGAAGAATCATCCTGATCATTTAATGAGAAAAAAATATCAGTGTACAGATTGTGACTTTACAACTAACAAGAAAGTGAGTTTCCATAACCACTTAGAAAGCCATAAGCTCATAAACAAAGTCGACAAAACCCATGAATTTACAGAATACACACGAAGATACAGAGAGGCTAGTCCACTGAGTTCCAATAAACTTATTTTAAGAGACAAGGAGCCGAAGATGCACAAGTGCAAATACTGTGACTATGAAACTGCAGAACAAGGACTGTTAAACAGGCATTTGTTGGCCGTTCACAGCAAGAATTTTCCTCATGTTTGTGTTGAGTGTGGGAAGGGTTTTCGACATCCTTCTGAACTCAAGAAACATATGAGAACC
This sequence comes from Homo sapiens, assembly GCF_000001405.40. NCBI lineage: Eukaryota > Metazoa > Chordata > Mammalia > Primates > Hominidae > Homo > Homo sapiens. The sequence goes on from NC_000023.11 coordinate 85,271,121, forward strand.
CATACTGGTGAGAAGCCATATCAGTGTCAGTATTGTATTTTCAGGTGTGCAGATCAATCAAATCTGAAAACTCACATTAAGTCTAAACATGGTAACAATTTGCCATATAAATGTGAGCATTGTCCCCAAGCATTTGGTGATGAGAGGGAGCTTCAACGCCATCTGGATTTGTTTCAAGGACATAAGACACACCAGTGTCCTCATTGTGACCATAAGAGCACCAATTCAAGTGACCTTAAGCGGCACATCATATCTGTCCATACTAAGGATTTTCCTCACAAATGTGAGGTCTGTGATAAAGGTTTTCATCGTCCTTCTGAGCTCAAAAAGCATAGTGATATCCATAAGGGTAGGAAGATTCATCAGTGCAGGCACTGTGACTTTAAAACATCCGATCCATTTATTCTTAGTGGCCATATCCTTTCAGTTCATACTAAAGATCAGCCATTGAAATGTAAAAGGTGCAAGAGAGGATTCAGACAACAAAATGAGCTAAAAAAACATATGAAGACCCATACTGGAAGGAAGATTTACCAATGTGAGTATTGTGAATACAGCACTACAGATGCATCTGGCTTTAAACGACATGTGATATCAATACATACAAAAGACTATCCACACAGGTGTGAATTCTGCAAGAAGGGATTCCGAAGACCATCAGAAAAAAATCAGCATATTATGAGGCACCACAAAGAGGCTCTTATGTAATAAGATCAATATAAAGAAAGAAGCTATTTAGGAGATATGATATGCTACTTGGGAGAAAACTCTCACTAACTGTCTCACCGGGTTTCAAAGCTTGATACTAAACCATGACTTTACATTCTTTGTATTAAAGATCTTAAAATATTTGAATTCACAGGGGATCCCATAGCCCTTTGAAAATTACTTAAAGAATTTAAGAAGCACTATAGAATGGTTACAGAAAAACTTCTTAAGTATCTGTGTAATAGTATTATATGCATACTTAAACTACAGAGGGGAAAAGCAAAGACAAATACTTTATTTGGCTGATTATGTTAGATACAAATGTTTCTGAGAAGAGAATACATAATTGAGTTTAGTGATGCTTTGCTATAGCAAGCAAACCCACTTTTATGCAATTTTAGAAATGGGGCAGGGAAACAAAATGTGGTCATTCATCAGTCACTTAGTCATTGAGCCTTTTATATTGTACCTGGAAATTAAATTCCAGCAATGACAAAAGTTTTGTGTATTCATTAAAAGAAAACTAACTGGAAAACAGGTTAGATTAATTCAGTACTATTAAAAAAGAATTCAGAGCTGTTAATATTTTATCACAGGATAGGATACTTAAAATATAGCATTCTGTGCTGAGATCTAAGGTGAAGTCTATAAAGATTAAAGTTCCCTTTTTTCTGATGTTCAAGTTGATTGTTGTTCAGTATGGCATATATGACAAAAGTATATTTGAGTCAAATGTGGCTTTCTAAAATGGATGCAACATTAGCGTTGCAAACAAAATCAGCACTATATTTCTTAATGATCTAAAGATTAATTTGAGAGAACACAGTTTTCTTAAATATTATAATGTCTAGAGTTTTTTTAGGACAGTCTTAGCAAGTATGATTGTTCTAGTCTTACTTGCTCTAATGTTTAAAGGTGCAATTTTATGCCATTATTGAAATTGATTTTTAAAATCTATATACCATATGATTAACATGCATTTTCAATATGAGGCAGTGTTTATGCAGTATTTAACAGAGCAATCTGCTGCCAATAGAGTTTGGAGGTGGATATTTAGTTTACAGTGTATAAACTTAAAATATGCATCCCTTTAACAACGCTTTGTGTTAGCATGCTGCAAATCAAAATGGCACTTAATATTAAAAGCTGGTTTAGGGAAATTTTATGAAAATCCTGTTCATAAATGTAATGCATATGATATGTACTTTTAAGTTTTAGTTGCTTCATGTTTACATTCAGCTGTTCAACATAATTAAAATGTAATTTTACTTCATGCTATATTGTGGCTTTGTGTTTCAAATAATGTTCACCTTTCTGTTTTTGCACCAGATAAGAATCAGTTCCTTGAGAATAAATTTTTTATCTTTCTTAACTTCAGAATATTAAATTTGGAATATCTACTAAAATTGTGTGTTATGTGGCTGTAAATGATGTACACGCTGTAAAATAAGATCGCTACTGTTATGTGGGATTATTATTTCTAAATGTTACTCATTGAAATGAGCATACAATAAAAAGCATTTATTGCACTTAATGGTTTTATAAGTTTATTTAAAGTTTCCATATTTTTTATTAAAAGACTTCACTTCAGAGTTACTTAGGCAGATTGGTCCTTTCTTTAATGTCTTGTTGAATTTTGTTCATGAACAACAACATGAACTAGGAATTTAAACAGTTACGATGACTATGTAATGCATATTTCTTAAGAATGTATGTTATTTGCTAAAATCATAATGAAATACTATAAATAAAAGTGTCCATTTTAAGATCTTAGATTTCATATTAGAGAGAAAACTAAAAGTTCTTAACTTGCTTAAATGACACAATCCTGAGCAGTGAATACATCTAATTATGTTCCCAATATACATTCAAAAGGAAAAGTATTGTTGTGTGTATTTGGCAAAGATTTCTGCAAATGAGCATAAAAATAACTTTCTATGTTCAAACCAGTGAGCATTTCATATAATTCTATATATATGGCACTGTTAGTTAAGACTCTTTGTCAGTTGAATTATTAATTATTAATTAATCACTAGCAGAAAAGGAAAATATCAGCCTCACATGTTAGACCAGTGCTTCTTAAATCTAAAGTCTGTAGAGGCTCACCTAGGGAACTTGCTGAAATGCATATTCTGATTCAATAGATTTGGGGTGGGGCCTACAATTCTGCATTCCTATTAAGTTCCCATGTGTTGCCACCATATGAGTAATAAGGTGGTAGACAAAAGCACCTGCTGTAATTCTGCCACATGTTAATTACTTTGCTTAAACAGATAGTTGTGGGTGAGTGGACAGAGGGAATTCTTACTGAGGACATGACATTAGAGCTGAGATATGAGTCGCAAGAAGGAGCTAGCCATATGAAGGTCTTGTGGAAGAGCAAGGCAGAGAAACCTGCAGGTGCAAACAACCTGAGATGCAACAAGCTTTGGCTGGACAATGGTTAGCAAGTGGGAGTGATAAGAGACGGTTGCAGTGATCCGAGATCGCGCCATCGCACTCCAGCCTGGGTGACAAGAGTGAAACTCCGTTTCAAAAAAAAAAAAAAAAAGAGATGAGACCTATGAGAAGTTTGAAACGGGAAGTCCTTGGGAAAAGTTAAGGAAAACAGTGCTGTTACATGTTTTGAAAATCACTCTGGAGGCTCTAAGAAATGTAGAGGAGCTGAACGATGCAGCCATGTTAAGTGGTTACTCTAGTTGTCATGGTTACAGTGGGGCTGGAGAAAAGTATATGGATTTTCTTCTACTTGTATATTGGGCTTAGAAAATGCCAGCCCAGGTAGAGCAGACATGAACTTCCTGGCATAAGGCTTTCCTACATACCAGGACAGATTCCACCTAGAATGTAGATCTATAAGTCAAAGTACCTTCACAAGACAAAGAAAAAATTGGGAATTACTGAAAAATCATTTTTCCAGAACAGTTCAGGGTCATATGTGTAGATGGATTTATCCAATTGTCACTTTTAAATTGCTTATGCCATGATGGAGAAGATAGTATTTGGGAACTCTTACACAGATAGGGCCCTTAAGTTCAACTGCTCCTGTCTCTTACATGACAACCACAAGTTTAGTTTGAACCTTGAACTTCTCTTAAAGATATATATCCCTTTAATTGCAGAAAACCGTGTACAAAAATAGAAAAATATAATGAACCTCTATATAGCCATCACCCAGCTTCAACAATTATCACTTTATGGCTAATCTTGTTTCGTTTGTATTCTTCCTCACTTATCCCTTCATCCACTTACACCTGATTAGCTTATTTTGATGCATCCTTCCCCTACTAGTTTAATTTGTAGCAAATCCCAGACATATTTGCAACAATTTTTGAAGGATATAGCACAATTCTTGACATGCCTACTTCCAAGGGGGAAATGACTCGTCCTCTATGAAGGCAGAGGAACAAAATAATCATCTCATTTAACTCTTTCAACTTCCCCTTGTGAGAACCAAGAAAAAGCTGACTAGGCTTGGAATTATATACAGTACGATTTTTTTGAACTAATAAGGCTTTAGAGAAGCTGCAGGGCTAGATTAGAACCCTAGAATATAATTGGTTTGAGACCATTCCCAATCTCCCAACTTTGTTCAGCTCCACCCTGTCTTTCCAAAAGAATTATAACTTGTAAATTTGGAACTGATTGAGAAAGATCTCTTAGAGTCTTGGATCCTGGATAAGAACTGGATATTGTTATGAGGGGTCTTTAGATTCCTAAAGGTCCTGCAGAAGAAATTGGCCAATTTGTAACTTCAAGGGTATAGCACTAGATGTCTTAAACTAAAAATGTGTCGCTTGCCTGTTTCAGTTATGCCTTTCTCTTTGAGCATTACCCAAGTAACTACCCCAAAGGGAACTCTCCTCCATTTTAAAATCTGGACCAATTGACAATATTGACACTATCTCATTTAACCTATAATGTAAGTCCTAGTCACTCCCATCTGATTCCAAAACCCTCTTATCCTAGATTCCAGCACCATTCACCCATCATGACAAGGCTGGCTCATCAGACCCTTTTAGGGAACTAGAACAAAAAGCCTATATTTTCTCCCATTTAAAGAAATTCATCTGTCTTATTGGATCTTGGTACATATGATTTATAAGTATTCAACACTGTTAGCAAACAAACTACAGAATCAAAGCATTACATTGGAAGCACTGTTCCTTAACATAAAGGATCTCTGGAACATATACTTCAATTTGAAAAAGAATTTTTTTAATGTGGTAGGATGGGAAACCAAACATAAAGGCTATGAACTTAACAACATCTCATTGTCTGTGTCAGGCCAATCTAAGATTACCAAGACTGCCTAGCTATCTAATTTTCTCATAAAACAATTCTGAGGTATGTCTTCTTCAGGACTAAATATTGTTAAATGTTTTATTAAGAAAGATGCGCTTGTTTATTACTTCCTTTATTTAAATGTTTTCTATGTACTATTTCATATATCCTAAGTTGTGCATGAAATACTTTGTATTTTTTTAACTGGACAAAAAGTACTATGGAAATCCAGTCAATTTAGTTTTGGCATGTGGTGGGGAAGATGTACCTCATAAGGAAACCTTTTCACAACATATTATTTACTTTCAAAATAATTATTTTCAAAAGAAACATGTCATCTTTGTAGATTGCAATAATGGGAAATGTGTGATGATGGCTTTTTGTTAAGGTGATCTAAATTGGGTAGTGAGATGGAAAGTTTTTTAAAGCTTTATTTTGTTCCTTTTGTACTGTCTATGTTAAGAAGGAGTAAGGCAACAAAAGCACCATTACAAGGATGGGAAGAATGCTTTATGGAACAAGTGAGTTATGGAACTTAGAAATCTAAGTTTGAAAGCAAAGAAATTCTAATTTAAAGAAGAAACTTGCTTCAACTGGAGGTTGAACTATGTTAAAGTAGTCCACATAAGGAAGTTTTCTGCTTTTGTTTTGTTTTTAATGAGAGTGATGCTTGTTAGCTCCAACATAAACATTCACATGATGATAATTTCCTGACAAAAATATACAGCTAAGCTAAAAATCCTTCTGCATATTTCCTACTTGGACTTTCACACAAACCATGTAAATACTTCACATATTTTATTTAGACACATAAACAGATTACTTTGCATGTCATTGCGCAGTCTCCATTTTATGTGACAAATCTAAAGTGAAAACATACTGGAATAGAAATTAGATAAATAGGCACTCCTCACCTGACAACTTTGAAGTTTTCAGAGATAAGCAGTGTGAAACTTATGAGAGGGAAATATATCACTACTACCTCTATTGATCTTAATCACAAATTGGAAAAGAAATACATATATTTAAATAGTCATTTAAATATATAGAACAGCTCTTTATATCATCACATTTTGTATTACAATTTAAAAAATTGTTAAGTATGATAAGGACGTTGTTATGACCCCAATTCACTATCCATGGATCAAGTGAGCCAATAAAGTGCTGGCTTCTTACTTTTTAAAATCTTTGTGGATATATAATAGGTGTATATATTTATGAGATACATGAGATATTTTGATACAGGCATGCAATGTGAAATAATCACATCATGGAGAATTGGGTATCCATCCACTCAAGTATTTATTTGTGTTACAAACAATCCAATTATACTCTTAGTTATTTGTACAATTAAGCTATTATTGACTATACTCACCCGGTTGTGCTATCAAATACTAGGTCTTATTTATACTTTCTAACTACATAGTTTTTGTACACATTAAGCATCCCCAGTTCCCCTCGCACACCCCTTTTCCCAGCCACTAGTAACCATCCTTCTACTCTCTATATCCATGAGTTCAATTGTTTTGACTTTTAGATCCCGCAAATAATTGAGAACATGCAATGTTTGTCTGTTTCTGGCTTATGTCACTTAATATAGTGACCTCTAGTTCCATCCATGACTCCTTAACTGCCCCTGAATTTTTGACACTATTATTTTTAAGTATTTTGGAAAACTCACACCTGTTCTCATTTTTAAACCTTAATAATAACAATTTCCTACTAAGCTAATAAAACTTCCCCTTATATTATTTGTAATGTGTGCATAACATAGTACACTTTTGTTACAGTTACATATATGAATAGTTAGCAGAGGAGAAACTCCTCCGTTGTTCCTACACCAAGGGAAAAAATGTAAGGACTGTATAGCTCATGAATAATATTAACATTTTTCTATCACAAAATATTGATAAAATTGGAATTGTATCAATTCATGTTATGGAGCTTAACATTTTAGCCGAAATATTAAGATAATATAAATAAGGCTTTTAGCTTCATATCAAGACCTATTTGAACACTTCTAGAAAAGAACATTAAAAGTTTTTTCCTCATTTATGGTTTGATTTAGTGTAGTGCCTCAACTGTTCTTAATGGTGTCTTAGTATAATGCATAATTATTAGAATATAATTATAAGGCATTACAGAATTTTATGTGGATACTTGCAAAGATATTTCAGTCCAAAACTTCAAATTACACACCCAAATATGTTTGTTGCCTTAATCTATACTTGGACAAAGGCAACATTTTAATTTTTGCTAAGTCTTAACTTTAGCCAGATGGGTTGAAATGTAAAATTTTCATCCTCATCTTGCATTGAAAAAATACTTGTGTTCAGTTATGTTCACTTTGTAAGGTCATTAAAGCCTAATTGCTAAATCAACTTCTAAGTATACTAAATACTCTGCTACAAAATATTTCTCCCAAGTAGGATAAATCTATCAAGTATTTGTTGCTGCTATTTTTATTCCCTAAGTCTTTATATCTATGTAATATTTCAATGATATGTTTGCATACCACTATGAAAAAACTTACCTTCCTTACACCTACTACTACCACATTGTGTTATATGTTTTTTAAGAAGTAGGTAGGCTCATTTGGGGAAGGTATGCTTTGAAAGAACAGATTTGCCAAGGGACTAATATGTACTTAGAACCAGAATAGCATACTGTATAATTTAGTGGACTTAGTTATTTCAAAAGATATTATTCCACTTCCCTGCTAAATGAAATTAATCATCACCTTTGACTTTCAAGAGGTGAAAATAGCGTGTAATAAAGCATATCTTTTAGTCATCAGGCCTACTGTGAAAAGCAAATACAGACTGTATATATTATATACTAGCTGTTATTTTTTGCTTCAATTGTATTTTATCTCTTTTGTTAAAAAAACATGATTTCATCTTGTAACTGAACTGCACATATAATATCAGAGAAAATCTTCTAATGGCATGACTTGTAAAATCTCTACCCCAACAAATTAGTTTGATATCTAGGAGTTACCTTATCTGAAACATAATGAGTTATGTTCTACAGTGTCTGCAATCAAACTTTAAACAATCAGGTCCCTCTTTCAGTTAGTATGTTGTTATACTGAATACATGAGTGTTATGGAAAAGATTTAGGTCTCATAAATGGGTGAAGAAATTGTCATCTACAGAACTAATTCATTCCATTAGATTTCTTGGGTAGCAGCATGGTTCCAAATTCTGATTGGCCTTTAGTGATGGAAAAATAACAAAGTACTAATGCAGAGACACACACACAAAAAAAAAACGGCTTTGAGTTGTAATACTTTAAAGTGGATCCATTCATGGCTAGAAAAGAAAAAAAAAGGTTATCTTACAACTGGTTCATAATTAAAGTCATTGTTACTATATGCAAAGTTATGGAAAATTATTTAAATTGGTATGTATAAAACCAAAGGACATGTATTGCACTTTTGTGGCACTCTTTTATATATATATATTCAATGAAACAATGATTTGTCTTTCTTACTTTACTCATGGTATGTTTCAAATGACTTTAAGCAAGAGTGAAGGACAATTAAGTAGATTTCCTTCTTAGTAATATTTAGAGTTTAAATATGTCCAATTGTCTCTTAATAAATATGGATTTTCATCTGTGAATGCATTTAAATATATTCTGACCTTGCTATCAGTATCTATAGATTCTTCAAATATCAATTTTGATTTTTACTGCTGCACATTTTTAATGGAGAGAGAAGTAGTGGCTACTATTCTGTAGAAACTTTATTTGGCAGGTCTTCATATTGCCACCTCTGGGATACATGTGGTTAGGGTTAGTGGCAGCAATTGCTTCTCAGTCTTAACTTTGGGCATCAAATTATCTTTGAGTGGCCAATTTTAAATTCTATGGGTTAATAATTAGTAGTAAGTAATTTTCAGCTAACTAATGACCTAACAAAAACAACATTTCAGAGTTTAAATGCAGTTATTTTTACTTTGGGATTACTAAACATTGGTTGTTTTCATTGATGATAACAACCATACTTAAAAGATTGATGGCTGGATTGTAGTTAAAGAAGGGCTTCAGCTCTAAAGAAACTTTTTGAATTTTTTTGTTGACTCAAATATTTGAGCTTGTTCAACCAAAAGATGTTTCTAGAAGTTATTTAACAGATGTTTAGATGTTTAATTTTATTAACTATACATCTGAAGCATAATTTTTAAATATTTTTCAAAAGGTTCTGCAGAATACTGGATTGATATTTGTATATTTGTCTATTGCTCACCACGGTACACTTAAGCATTTTAAGGCTTTTACTGAAGTACAATAAACATGTAGAAAGAAATGGACATATTATAAGTATTCAAATAAATGAATTTTCCCAAACCGAACATGCATATGTAACCATCTCCCAGATAAAGAAACAGAACATTATTAAGACCTTGAATCTCTCCTTATGCTTCCTTTTAATCAGTATCCATCCCACAAGGATAACCATTTCTTCATTTAATAGCCATAGATTTAGTTTTGCCTACTTTTATACCTCAGTAGTTTGACAGGTAGATAATTTTATCATAAGAAGTCAAAGGCTGTCATTTTCACAATGTTTTAAGTCAGATCTGTATGATTTGAGAACTAGAATCCTCAAACATTTCTCTGTTCATTTCACCAGAAGGATATCACACATTCCTATGATCCCTACCAGTGGCTTACTATTAGAATCTCTTGCACCAGTGTAGGAGTATATAATTAGGAAAAAAACCCAAGAGCATTCTGTTAGCAGAGTTTTTCAACCTCAACACTACTTATTAGGGGCTGGATAATTCTTTGTTATGGGAGACTGTCCTGCACATCGTAGTATGTTCAGAAGCATCCTAGTTCTCTAACCACTAGATGCCAATAACACCCACCCCTCTGGTTGTGAAAACCAAAAATGTCTCTAGACATTGCTAAATGTCCCGTAAGGTACAAAATTGTTGCTGTAGAGAGCAACTGTGCTAGGGAATATATAGTTGGCCCTTGGTATTCATGGGTTCCCCACCAATGATGGGTTGAAAATATTCAGGAAAAAAATCATTTCTGTACTGAACATGTACAGACTTTTTTTTTTTTTTACTGTTATTACCTCCTAAACAAGACGGTATGACACGTACTTAGAATTTACATTGAATTAGTTATTGTAAGCTAGAAATGACTTAAAGTATACAGTAAGATGTGCATAGGTTATATGCAAATATTATGCCGATAAGGGACTTGAGCATCTACAGATTTTGATATCTGTAGGGGATCCTGGAACCAATCTCTCATGGATATTGAGGGACAACTATATATCCCCTATTTGATGATCATTACTTTAAAAGTTAATAGAGCAATATGTAAAAGTTTTAGGGAAGTAGCTCTCAGTCCTTTATAAGAAGGTTTCAATAATCAGTCCCCTTAGCAATGGATTGGACCACTTAGAAAGATGCTAAGGTCCATGTCACCTGGCCATTTTGGAGGATGTTGTAGAAGGTAGAGTAAATATTGGAGTATATGATGTTTAAAGTACTCTTCAGCAACCTCACTATAACTGTGGGATTTAAGGCTGGAGGATGTTACAGTCTAGTGAGGAAGCTAGAAACATCTCTTCTTTCTAAATCCTAATATATATAATATATATATATATAAAATCCACAGGAATAAGTACCACATGCAAGATTGCAAGACAAATTCTATTGAAACATGCCTCTTCTCCATTTTCCAGTTGCCTTCATAATTGTCTATGATATTTGCTACCTGCTTTAGAAAAAGGGAAACTGTTTTGGAAAATTTTAATGGAACCCATTCAATAACTACCGAGCTAGGCAAGAAAATAAATAAAATTAGCATATCACTAATGTTAATCTTCTTCCTTTTGAGGGGCAAAAATTATATTTATATTATAGCTTAAATAATCAATTATATTGCCACATGTATGAATCTTTCCAAAATTTGTTAATTCCCACTGTATATCAATAATGGAAACAGAAAATCTCAAAAGAAAAAAATACTCAAAGTTTTTAGTTCATTTGATATTTTACCTCAATTTTAAAAGGCTGTACATATATCGTCAAAATAGGGCTAAAAATGCCCAAGTGAACTTACACAAGTGTATTTGTCTTCTGTTTTCTCAATCACAATAGTCTGTGTTTCACTACCTGGTGGTATATATTCGTAGTCATCATATAGGAGGCCTAGGATTGGATATTGTGTCCTGTACCTGTTGGCAAGAAAAGAGTTAGTTTACAGGCTGCATGAGAAAATAACTTTCATTCCTTTTTAGTCACTCCTAGTTTGATTGCCCTAATTAAGCCAATTCGGCTCTGAATGACTTTTTAACTGTTACTGAAAAAACAAAAAAATAAAAAAACCCTATTTCAATGGACAGAGATGTACAACCATTATTTTCAAGAAAATAAAATAGAGGGACTTCTGTTTCTGGCCATGATGGACGACTGGCAGCACAGGACAGTGACCCCAGAAAAGGGAAGCAAATGATATGGGCCCTACAAGTGCCTAGCTCACTGCCTGGAGAGATTTTCTTGGTCACGGGATAAGTAAAAGGAAGCTAAACAGATCCCAGCAGTCTCACCAAGATAAGGTGATAAAGTTTAGAGTAAATATAGGCAAAGGCACCCAGAGTTTGTGGGGCAGAGTATCAGACAGAAGAGAGCTACATAGATAGAGAGAGGTCAGGACAGCTGTAGAGGTTTTCCCAAAAGCCTTTGGGTGAAAACTGATCAGTGTGCCTGTATGTGAAGAAGCTACCAAGACTTAGGAAATAATGACTAGAAAGGAGCAGGCTGGCAATTTTGGGAGCTCTCATAGGGATGGTAATGTTTTGTGTTCCACTAACAAAACCAGAGTGAAAAGCTCTCCTGATATAGAGGCCATCAGATAGATACTGCAGAATATTGCCTTAGTAGTGGGATAAAATTAGCCTCAAAGTACAGGTTATTCTCAAAGAGTTTAAAAGCAAGGCTTGGATGTATTAAATTGTTTCCAAATAATTTCATCTCAGAACAAAACTCCAAATATTTTAAGTAATACCCTAGCGAAAATCTAAAACTCAACAATATAAAATCACAATTCATGGCATTCAACGAAAAATGAATAGTCATGCAATGGACGATACGACTAATAATGAAGAGAAATATAAATTAGTAGAAACAGACCAAGAGACAACACTGATAAAAAAATTAGTAGGTAAATGTGCATCTATTAGAAACATATAAAATATACAAGGTATATTCAAGAAGTTAGAGGAAAGCATGAACACAGGAGAGAAATAGATAATATAAAAAAGATCCACATTGGACTACTAAACATTAAAAAAATTAGGTGGAGTTAACAGCAGATTAGGCACTGCATTACAAAAAGACCGATAAATTTTAATACATCAAAATAAATAATTTAAAATAAAACATAAAAGAAAACGGAAAAAAATGAATGCAGCATGAAATAACTGTGGAAAATATCAAATGTCCTCATATATATATAATTAAAGTCCTGCAGGATTGGTGGTGGAAAAAAATAATTGACATAATGACCAAATTATTTCCAAGCATGATGTAAAGCTATAAACACACGTATCCAAGAAGCTCAGTGAACGTGAAAAAAAGAAACATGAAGAAAACTACAGAGAGGCACATCATTATCAAATTCTTGAAAACCAGTGAAAGAGAATCTTAAAAACAGCCTCAGAGAAGAAAGGACATTATTCAAAGAACAAAAATCATAAGATTAACAAAAAACTTCTCAGTCACAATGAAAGTCAGAAGACAGAAGAGCAATATTGTTAAAGTACTTTTTTAAAAAAAATGTAAAAAATCTCCTTAAGCTGATAAGCAACTTCAGCAAAGTCTCAGGATACAAAATCAATGTGCAAAAATCACAAGCATTCCTATACACCAATAACAGACAAACAGAGAGCCAAATCACGAGTGAACTCCCATTCACAATTGCTTCAAAGAGAATAAAATACCTAGGAATCCAACTTACAAGAGATGTGAAGGACCTCTTCAAGAACTACAAACAACTGCTCAAGGAAATAAAAGAGAACACAAACAAATGGAAGAACAGTCCATGCTCATGGGTAGGAAGAATCAATATCGTGAAAATGGCCATACTGCCCAAGGTAATTTATAGATTCAATGCCATCCCCATCAAGCTACCAATGACTTTTTTCACAGAATTGGAAAAAATTACTTTAAAGTTCATATGGAACCAAAAAAGAGCCCACATTACCAAGAAAAACCTAAGCCAAAAGAAAAAAGCCGGAGGCATCACGCTACCTGACTTCAAACTATACTACAATGCTACAGTAACCAAAACAGCATGGTACTGGTACCAAAACAGAAATATAGACCAATGGAACAGAACAGAGCCCTCAGAAATAATACCACACATCTACAATCACCTGATCTTTGACAAATCTGACAAAAACAATAAATGGGGAAAGGATTCCCTTTTTAATAAATGGTGCTGGGAAAACTGGCTAGCCATATGTAGAAAGCTGAAACTGGATCCCTTCCTTACACCTTATACAAAAATTAATTCAAGATGGATTAAAGACTTAAATGTTAGACCTAAAACCATAAAAACCCTAGAAGAAAACCTAGGCAATACCATTCAGGACATAGGCGTGGGCAAAGACTTCATGACTAAAACACCAAAAGCAATGGCAACAAAAGCCAAAATTGACAGATGGGATCTAATTAAACTCAAGAGCTTCTGCACAGCAAAAGAAACTACTATCAGAGTGAACAGGCAACCTACAGAATGGGAGAAAATTTTTACAATCTACCCATCTGACAAAGGGCTAATATACAGAATCTACAAAGAACTCAAACAAATTTACAAGAAAAAATCAAACATCCCCATCAAAAAGTGGGCAAAGGATATGAACAGACACTTCTCAAAAGAAGACATTTATGCAGCCAACAGACACATGAAAAAAATGCTCACCATCACTGGCCATCAGAGAAATGCAAATTAAAACCACAGTGATCTCAGGCCACTTAGAATGGCGATCATTAAAAAGTCAGGAAACAACAGGTGCTGGAGAGGATGTGGAGAAATAGGAATACTTTTACACCGTTGGCAGGACTGTAAACTAGTTCAGCCATTGTGGAAGACAGTGTGGCGATCCCTCAAGGATCTAGAACTAGAAATACCATTTGACCCAGCCATCCCATTACTGGGTATATACCCAACGGATTATAAATCATGCTGCTATAAAGACGTATGCACACGTATGTTTATTGTGGCACTATTCACAACAGCAAAGACTTGGAACCAACCCAAATGTCCATCAATGATAGACTGGATTAAGAAAATGTGGCACATATACACCATGGAATACTATGCAGCCATAAAAAAGGATGAGTTCACGTCCTTTGTAGGGACATGGATGAAGCTGGAAACCATAATTCTGAGCAAACTACCGCAAGGACAGAAAACCAAACACCACATGTTCTCACTCATAGGTGGGAATTGAACAATGAGAACACTTGGACACAGGTTGGGGAAGATCACACACTGGGGCCTGTCGTGGGGTGGGGGGAGGGGGAAGGGATAGCATTAGGAGATATACCTAATACAAATGATGAGTTAATGGGTGCAGCACACCAACATGGCACATGTATACATATGTAACAATCCTGCACATTGTGCACATGTACCCTAGAAGTTAAAGTATAATAAAAAATTTTTAAAAATGACCAGCTTACTCGTCTATACACAACAAAAATACTTTTGAATAATGAAGAATTGATAAAGACTGTTTTTAGACTTAAAAGGCCAAAAGAAGTCTTCACCAGAGAAGCATGATAAAAAATGTTAAAAGAAGTTTTTAAGGCAAAGGGAAAATGATACAAGATAGAAATTTGAATTTGATCAAAGTAATACATAGCACCAGAAAAGATAAATATGTAGGTAAATTTACAACATTGTTTTTCTTATTGTTAACATTTCTTTAAAAGATAGTTGGCTGTTGAAAACAAAAACAATAATGTATTTAGGGGCTAATAATATATGTGAAAGAAGTTTATATGATAAAAATAGTAGAAGTCATATTAGTCATATGAAGGAAATGGAAGTTGATTATTACAGAGTTGTTATGCTACATGTGATGGGATATAATATTATTGGAAGTCGGCAGTGATCACTTGAAGAATATTATGAACCCTACAGCAAACAAAAGAAAGAAGTATACCTAATAAGCTAATAAAATAGGTTAAATGAAACATGAAGAAATAATTCATCCAAAAGAAGAGAGGAAAAGAGAAAGAAAGAAAATGTGAGGTAAATAGAAAACAAATAGCAAGATAGTAAATTTAAATCTATCCATATAGATATGTATTGCCTAAACACTCAATTAAAAAGCAAAGATTGTTAAATTTGATAAAAACTCAAGACCCAACTACACATGCTATTTACAAAAACCATACAATCCTTAACACTTTAAATACAAACAAACTAATAGATTAGAGTAAAAGGATGGAAACATATGTACCATGCAATTTCTAATCAAAAGAAAGTTGGAGTAGTTATATAAATATCAGATGAAGTAGCCTTCAGAATAAGAAGCATTAGTGCAGATAAAGGGTGATTTTATAATGATAAAGGTGTCAATTCATCAACAAAATGTAGCAGTCCTAAATGTTCATTTATCAATAAAACATAACAATCCTAAATGTTTATGTACCCTCCCAGCAGAAATTCAAAATATATGAAGCAAATACTGATAGAACTGAAAGGAGAAATAAACAAATCCACAATCAGAGTTGGAGATTTTGGCACGCCTTTCAAGGTAATTGATATAAGTAGAAAGAAAATTAGTAAATATATAGATGAAATCCCCAAATATGTGGAAACCAAAAAATTTAAATCTAAAAAACCTGTAGATCCAAGTACAAATTAAAAGGGAAATTAGAAAATATTTTGAACTGAATGCAAATGAAAATATAACTTATCAAAATTGTGGGATGCAGGTAAAATAGTGCTTAAGTAGAAATTTATAGCATTCAAATTTTATATTACGAAAGAAGAATGGTCTAAAATCAATGACCTATGTTTCCATGTTTTGAAACTGGAAAAGAAACAGAAAAGTAAGTGGAAAATAACATAAGAAAAAACAAAAATAGGAGAAGAAATTAGTGAAATAGGAAAGAGAGAAACAGTATAGGAAAATCAATTAAATTGAAAGCTGGTTCTTCAAGTATATCACTAAAATTGACACAACTCTAGTCAGACTGGTTAGCAAAGAAAGAGAACATACAGTTTACCAATATCAAGAAAGAAAGAAGGGATATCCCTATAGGTCCTATAGTCTTTGAAAGAATAATAAAGAAATATTATGGCAATTTTATGCCAAAAACTTGGCAATTTAGATGAAATGCACAAATTCTTCAAGAGACACAAACTACAAAAACTCACTCAAGAAGCAATAGATAATCTGAATAAGTATGGGTCAATTTTTAAAATTGAATTTACAATTAGATGCTTTCACACAAAGTCAACTCCAGTCCAGGATGACTTTACTAGTTAACTCTACCAAAAAATTAACAAATAAATAATATCAATCTTACATAAACTCTTCCAAAATATAAAATAGTAGGGCATACTTCTCAACTCATTCTATGAGGTCAGCATTACTCTGGTGAAAAAGCAGTCAGAGGCATCATGAGAAAAGAAATGTATAGGCTAATATCACTAGTAGAATACAGGTGTCAGATCCTTAACAAAATTTTAGCAAATTGGATCTAGCAATATATAAAAAGGATACTACATTAATCCAGCACAATTTATCCCAGTAACAAAAGTTTGGTTTAATATTCAAAAATCAACAATTCATCATTGTAACAGATCAAACAAACAATAGAAACTTATGTTCGGGTTTGGGATTTTAAGAATGGAGAAGTAAGGAGTTTGACAGACACTCTCTACAATAAAACAATGATTCAATGATTTCACTGGTGAAAATTACATATTTTTTAAAAATTAATCATTTAAAGTCTCTGGAACTCATTTAAGGGAGGACAGCAAGTAGAAAAATATTCAAGAAAAACTACTAAACCTTGTTAAGAACATTGAAAGTCTGTGATATTTGAGCCATGACCTGCTTCATCCAACTACCTCCTGCCCCTCAGTTCCTGTTTCGGGCAAGAGTGGTTGAGAAGTCGTACTCTCTTCCTCTACCCTGTCCCCCACTTGTAGAATGGAAACTCTATACCAGACATGGCAGGCTGAAAATATTGGGTTCCTGATCAACTCCATCCAACATACTCCTTGGTCAGAGAATCTACAATGAGAGGAGCAAGCCAAGGAGATCATAGACTGCCACCTCCCCTCAGTGCCCACTGACAGAACAGAGATTGTCACTGGAAAAAGTGGGTACCTGCCCCAGTTCTGGTGCAGTGGCACAGGGATTCTTCCCAGGTTGAAAGGCAGTGATATGGTTTGGCTGTCTCCCCACCAAAATCTCAACTTGAATTGTATCTCCCAGAATTCCCACGTGTTGTGGGAGAGAACCAGGGGGAGGTAATCAAATCATGGGGGCTGGTCTTTCCCATGCTATTTTCTTGATAGTGAGTAAATCTCATGAAATCTTATGGGTTTATCAGGGGTTTCCGTTTTTGCATCTTTCTCATTTTCTCTTGCCACTGCCATGTTAAGAAGTGCCTTTCACCTCCCGCCATAATTCTGAGGCCTCCCCAGCTATGTGGAACTGTTAAGTTCAATTAAACCTCTTTTTGTTCTCAGTTTCAGATATGTGTTTATCAGCAGCGTGAAAACAAACTAATACAGGCAGTCTATAAGTACAAATGCTATGCAGCTCTGTGTGATGGGACTGACTTCATTTGAAACAGATAATGTAAAAATCCACATCTAAGAATGTTGCTGAAAATAATGGTGGACTTGGTGGAGAGCAATTAAGAGGAGGCTGGAGGCTCTAGAATACAAGCAAAATGGCAGAACAGCCTGAAGATAAATAGGGAAAGAGATGGCTAAAAAGAGTCCTCCTGGGACTCTTTATGGGAGTCAAGAAAGCTATGCATATGTGCTAGGCCACAACCACTCAGGCGCATGCAGAACAGAAAGTGGGGGAAGAAATGAAAGCATATCACAAGCTGGACAGACCATCAACACAGGTCACATGACTCACTGGCGCAAGGGGCTTAAATGTAACCTCTAACAAATTGTTGAACAAAAAGTTGCTCTGGTCCAGGGGCAATTCCTAGGAAACCAAGCTAAAAATAAAATCAGGTTCATACATGGCAGTCTGGACAACCGTGTGCATGCCCAAGGCTGCACGCTCTCATGTGCAATCACGGAGGGAGTTTCCAATACACTAGTCTCTGGCTGAATGTGGGTCAAAGAAATGCAAATATCCTGAACTGCGATGGCAGCTCCCAAGCCACACATATATCCAATAGTGTAAAAATATAACTGGGTAAGGTGTCATAAGCACAAGTTTTTACCACTAGGTGGCTTATTCAAGCCCGGGGGCATCCCAGTTCAGTCAGAAGGGAAAAAACAAACAAACAAAAAAACCAAAACCAAAACAAAAAACCAAGATAAAAAAATCTGAACAGGGACATTAGAAGATAAACAATTTGGAGAAAACAAAAGACTTTGAAGAATTAGTTTAGGGAAAGTACTAAGTACATAATCAGGCAAACAACCCCTAGCAAGAGGTGGGGGTGTGGGAACAGGGATCGGTATCCAGAGTTGCTACAGCATATTATTCAAAATGTCTAATTTTCGACAGAAAATTATAAAACTTGCAAATAAAGAAGAAATGCTGACACATAAAGGGAGGGAGGAAAGCAGGCAATAGAAAATAATTTTTGTATTTTATTTATTTTTCAACTTAAATTTCAGAATAAGGGAGTACAAGCGCAGGTTTGTTACAAAGGTTTACACGATGCTGAGGTTTGTGGTATGAATGATCCTATCACCCAAGTAGTGAACATGGTACCCATAGTTTTTCAGCCCTTGCCTGCCGCCATCTCTCCACCCTTCAGTAGTCCCCAGTGTCTACTGTTCCAATCTTTATGCCCATGAGTATCCCATGTTTAGCTCCCACATTTAAGTGAGAAAATGCACTATCTGGTTTTCTGCTTCTGTTCGTTTTATATAGGATAATGGCCTCCAGCTACATCCATTTTGCTTCAAAAGACATGATTTTTTTTTTATGGCTGCACAGTATTACATGGTGTATATGTACCACATTTTCTTTTTCCAGTCCAACATTGATGGGCACGTGGGTTGATTCCATGTTTTTGCTATTTTGAAATAACGCTGCAATGAACATGCAGGTGCATGTGTCTTTGGGTAGAATGCTTTTTTTTACTTTGGGTATATACCCAGAAATGAGAATGCTGGGTCAAATGGTAAACTCGTAGTTCTTTGAGGAATCTCCAAACCGCTTTCCACAGTGGCTGAACTAATTTACATTCCTACCAACAGTGCATTAGCATTCCCTTTGATCTGCACCCTCACCAGCATCTGTTGTTTATCGACTTTTTAATAATAGCCATTCTAACTGGTGTGAAATGGTTATCTCATTGTGGTTTTAATTTTCATTTCTCTGATCACTAGTGATGATGAGCATTTTATTCATGTTTGGTGGTTGCTTGTATGTCTTCATTTGAGAAGTGTATGTTCATATCCATTGCCTACTTTTTAATGATTTTTTGCTTGTTGATTTAAGTTCCTTACAGATTCTGCATATTAGAACTTTGTCAGAGTTTGTGCATATTTTCTCCTATTTTGTAGGTTGTCTGTTTACTCCCTTGATATTTTCTCTTGCTCAGCAGAAGCTCTTTGGTTTAATTAGATATCATTTGTCAATTTTCGCTTTTGTTGCCGTTGCTTTTGACATCTTGGTCATTAAATCTTTGTCCATGCCTATGTCCTGAATGGTAATGCCTAGATTGTCTTCCAGGAATTTTATACTTTTGGAGTTTACATTTAAGTCTTTAGTTCATCTTTAGTTTATTTTTGCATATAGTGTAACGAGGGGTCCAATTTCAATCTTCTACATATGGCTAGGCAGTTATCCTGGCACCATTTATTGAATAGGGAATTCTTTCCCCATTACTTGTTTTTGAAAGCTTGGTCAAAGATCAGATTGTTATAGGTGTCTGGCCTTATTTCTGGGTTCTCTATTCTGTTCCATTGGTCTATGTATCTGTTCTTGTACCAGTACCATGCTGTTTTGGTTAGTGTAGCCCTGTAGTATAAATTAAAGTTGAGTAGTGTGATGCCCCCAAGCTTTGTTATTTTTGCTTTGTATTGCCTTGGCTATACAGGCTCTTTTTTCGTTCCATATGATTTTGAAAAGTTTTTCTGTAGTTCTGTGAAGAATGTCAAAGATAGTTAAATGGAAATAGCATTGAATCTGTAAATTGCTTTGTGCAGTATGGTCATTTTAACAATATTGATTCTTCCTATCCATAAGCATGGAATCATTTTCCATTTCTTTGTGTCATCTCTGATTTTTTTTGAGCAGTGTTTTGTAGTTCTACTTGTAGAAATCTTTCACCTCCCTAATTAGCTGTATTCCTTTTTGTGGCAATTGTGAATAGGAGGTCATTTCTGATTTCGCTCTCTGCTTGACTTTTGTTGGTGGATAGGAATGCTAGTGATTTTTGCATATTGATTTTGTATCCTGAGACTTTGCTGAAGTTGTTTATCAGCTTAAGAAACTTTTGGACTGAGATTGTGGAGTTTTCTAGATATAGGATCATGTCATCTGCAAACAGGGATAGTTTGACTTCCTCTCTTCCTATTTGGATGCCTTTATTTCTTTCTCTTGCCTGATTGCCCTGTTCAGTACTTGAATGTACCTAACATTCAATACTATGTTCAGTAGGAGTGATGAGAGAGGGCATCCTTTTCTTGTGCTGGTTTTCAATGGGAATGCTTCCAGCTTTTGCCCATTCAGTATGATGTTGGCTGTGGGTTTTTCACACATGGCTCTTATCATTTTGAGGTATGTTCCTTCCATACCTAGTTTATTGAGAGATTTTGACATAAATGGGTGTTGAATTTTATAGAAAGCCTTTTCTGCATCTATTGAGATAATCATGTGTTTTTTGTCTTTAGCTGTGTTTATGTGATAAATCACAGTTATTAATTTGTATATGTCTAACCAACCTTGCATTCCAGGGATGAAGCCTACTTGATTGTGGTGGATAAGCTTTTTGATGAGCTGCTGGATTTGGTTTGCCAGTATTTGTTGAGGATTTTTGCATTGATGTTCATCAAGGGTATTGACCTGAAGTTTTCATTTTTTGTTGTATCTCTGCCAGGTTTTGATATCAGGATGATGCTGGCCTCATAGAACGAGCTAGGGAGGAGTCCCTCTTCCTCTATCTTGTGGAATAGTTTCAGCAGGAATGGTCCCAGCTCCTCTTTGTACATTTGGTAGAATTCAGCTGCGAATCTGCCTAGTCCTGGCCTTTTTGTTGTTGTTGTTTGGCAGGCTATTTATTACTGCCTCAATTTCAAAACTCATTATTAGTCTGTTAAAGGATTAAATTTCTTCCTGGTTCACTCTTGGGAGGGTGTATGTGTCCAGGAATTAATCCTGGACACAGCAAAGGAAACTGTCAACAGAGTAAACAGACAACCTACAGAATGGACAAAATGTTTTTGCAAACTATGCATCTGACAAAGGTCTAATATCCAGCTTCTGTAAGGAACTTAACAAGTTTACAAGAAAAAAAACAACCCTGTAAAAAAAAAAAGTCAGCAAAGGACATGAACAGATACTTTTCAAAAGAAGACATATATGTGGCCAATAAGCATATGATAAAAAGCTCAACATCACTGATCATTAGAGAAATGCAAATGAAAACCACAATGAGATATCATCTCACACCAGTCAGATTGACTACTATTAAAAAGTCAAAAATGACAGATGCTGGTGAGGTTGTGGAGTAAAATGAACACTTATACACTGTTGGAGGTGTGTAAATTAGTTCAGCCATTATGAAAGTGTGGCAATTCCTCAAAGACCTAAAGACAGAGATACCATTCAACACAGCAATCTCATTACTGGGTATATACCTAAAGCAAAATAAATCATTCAATTGTAAAGATGCATTTATGCGTATGTTCACTGCAGCACTATTCTCAATAGCAGACATGGAATCAACCTAATGCCCATCAATGATAGACTGGATAAAGAAAATATGGTACATGTACACCATGGAATACTATGCACCCATAAAAAGAACAAGATCATATCCTTTTCAGGGACATGCATGGAGCTGGAGGCCATTATTCTTAGCAAACTAACACAGGACCAGAAAATCAAATACTGCATGTTCTCACTTATAAGTGGGAGATAAATGATGAGAACACATGGACATGTAGAGAGGAGCAACACACACTTGGCCTTTTAGAAGGTGGAAGGTGGGAGGAGGGAGAGGATCAGGAAGAATAACTAATGGATACTAAGCTTAGTACATGGGTGACAAAATAATCTGTACAACAAACCTCTGTGACTCGTTTACCTATGTAGCAAATCTGCACTTGTACCACTGAACATAAAATAAAAGTTAAAGAAGAAAAAAACAGGCCGGGCATGGTGGCTCATGTCTGTAATCCCAGCACTTTGGGAGGCCAAGGGGCAGATCACCCTGAGGTCAGGAGTTCAAGACCAGCCTGGCCAACATGGTGAAACCCTGTCTGTACTAAAAATACAAAAAATTAGCCGGGAGTGGTGGTGCATGCCTGTAATCCCAGCTACACTGGAGGCTGAGGCAGAAGAATCGCTTGAATGTGGGAATCAGTGGTTGCAGTGAGCCAGGATCATGCCACTGCACTCCAGTCTGGGTGACAGAGCAAGACTCTGTCAAAAAAAAAAAATAAATAAAGAAGAAGAAGAAGGAGAAGGAGGAGGAGAGGAACATTTAAAAAGAATTAAAGAAAATGCTACTGAATTTTTACATTAGTTTTGTATTCTGAAACTTTACTGAAATCATTTACTAGGTCTAGGAAGCTTTTGGTGGAGTCTTTAGTCTTTTCTAAGTATAGAATCCTATCAGCAAGGAGAGAGAGTTTGACTTCTTTTCTTAATTGGATGCCTTTTATTTCTTGCTCTTGTCTGATTGCTCTGGCTAGGACTTCCCATACTATGTTGAATGGGAGGGTTAGAGAGAACATCTTTGTCTTGTTCCAGTTCTGAAGAAGAATGTTTCCAGCTTTTGTGTTCAGCATGCTATTGGCTGTGGGTTTCTCATAGATGGCTATTATTATTTTGAGGTATGTTTCTTTGATGCCTAGTTTCTTGAGGGTTTTTATCATGAAGGGATGTTGGACTTTATTGATAGCTATTTCTGCATCACTTAAGATAATCACATGTTCTTTTGTTTTCAATTCTGCTTATGTGGTGAATCACATTTATTGATTTGCATAAGTTGAACCAACCTTGAATCCCAGGAATGAAGCCTACTTGAATGTGGTGAATTAACTTTTTGTTGTACTGCTGGATTGGGCTTGCAAGTATTTTGTTGATGATTTTTGTGTTTATGTTCATCATGGTTATTGGCACGAAATTTTCTTTTTTCATTGTGTCTATGCCAGATTTTGGTATCAGGATAATGCTGGCTTCATAGAATGAGTTAAGGAGGACTCCTTCCTCCTCTATTTTTGGAATAGCTATGGTAGGATTGATAGCAATTCTTCCTTGTATGTCTGGTAGTATTTACCTGTGAATCCTTCTGGTCCTGGGCTTTTTTTGTTGTTGTCTTGTAGGAGTTTTTTAATTACTAATTCAATTTTAGAATTCATTATTTGTCAGTTCAAGTTTTCACTTTCTTCCTGGTTCAATCTTGGAAGGGTATGTGTTTTTATGAATTTATCCATTTCCTCTAGATCTTCCAATTTGTGTTATAGAGGTTTTCATAATAGTCTGAGGACCTTTTGTATTTCTGTGGGATTGGTTGTAAAGCCATCTTTTTTATTTCTGATTATGCTTAGTTGAAACTTATCTTTTTCTTTGTTAATCTAGCTAGTGTTCAATTGGTCTTTTTTATTCTTTCGAAGTACCAACTTTTGGTTTCATTGATCTTTGGTATGAACTTTGCATCTCAATTTCATTCAGTTTTTTTCTAATTTTAGTTATTTATTTTCATCTGCTATCTTTGGATTTGGTTTGTTCTTGTTTTTCTAGTTCCATTAGGTGCAATGCAATATTAGATTGTTAACTTGAGATCTTTCTAACTTTTGTTGTAGGTGTTGAGTGATGTAAACTTCCTCTTAACACTGCTTTGGATGCATCCCAAAATATTTTGATATGTTATTTCTCTATTTTCATTAATTTCAAAGAAATTATTTTTTATTTCTTTCTTGATTTTGTTGTTCACCCAAAAGTCATTTGGGAGCAAGTTGTTTAATTTCCATGTAATTGTGCAGTTTTGAGATATCTTCTTGGTACTGATTTCTATTTTTATTGCACTGTGGTCTGAGCATATGCTTGGTATAATTTTGATTTTTTAAAATTTATTGAGGCTTACTTTATGGTCAAGCATATGCTCAATATTAGAATATGTTCTGTGTGCAGTGGAAGTCTGTTTTGTGGTTGTTGGGTGGATGATTCTGTTGATGTCTATTAGGTCCAGTTGGTTGAGTGTCAAATTTAAGCCCGAAATTCCTTTGTCAGTTTCCTGCCTCAGTGATCTCTCTTATGTTGTCAGTGGGGTGTTGCAGTCTCCCATTGTTATTTTGTGGTTGCCTAAGTCTTTTCATAGGTCCAAAAGAACTTCTTTTACAAATCTGTTTGTATGCAGATGTTATGCTCCAATGTTGGATGCATACATATTTAGGACAGTTAAGTTTTCTTGTTGAATTGAACCCATCATCATTATGTAATGCCCTTCTTTGTCTTTCTTGATTGTTGTGGATTTAAACTCTGTTTTATATGATATGAGAAGAGTAACCCCTGCTCTTTTTTTGTTTGCCATTTGCAAGATAGATCTTTCTCTATCCCTTTACTTTGAGTCTGTGGGTGTCACTGCCTGGGAGATGGGTCTCTTGAAGACAGCAGACAGTTGGGTCTTGTCTTTTTATTGAACTTACCACTCTATGTCTTTTAAGTGGGGCATTTTGACTTTTTTACATTCAAGGTTAGTTAGTATCGATACGTAAGATTTTGATCATGTCATCTTGTTGTTAGCTGTTTGTTGTGTAGCTTTGGTTGTGTAGTTGTTTCATAGTGTCTGTGGGATATGTGCTTAAGTGTGTTTTCATGGTAGAAGATATAATTATTTCATTTCCATGTTTATCATTTCCGTAAGAACCTCCTGTATAGCTGGTTTAGTGATAATAAATTCCCTTAGTGTTTTCTTGCTTTGGAAGTTTATTTCTCCTTTGCTTATGAAGCATAGCTTGGTGGGATATGAAATTCTTGGTTGGAATTTCTTTTCTTTAAGAATGCTGAATATAGAACCACAATCTTTTCTGGCTTGTAAGTTTTCTGACTAGAGGTCTTCTTCTAGCCTGATAGAGTTTCCTTTGTAAGTGACTAGAGCCTTCTCTCTTGTTGCCTTTAACAATTTTTTCTTTCACATTGACCTTCGTGAATCTGATGACTATGTGTCTTGGGAATGTTTGTCTTGTATAGTATCTCACATAGGTTCTGTATATTTCTTGAATTTGCATGTCAACCTCTCTAATGAGATTGAGGAAATTTTCATGGACCATATCCTCAAATATGTTTTCCAAGTTATTTCTTCTCTCTCCTGTCAGGAATATCAATTAGTTTTAGGTTAGTCTTGTTACATAATCCCATATTTCTCAGAGGTTTTGTCACAATTTAATTTTTTTTTTATTTTTGTCTAAGTTGATTATAAGATTCTGTCTTCAAGCTCCAAGATTCTTTCCTTGGCTTGGACTATTCTGTTGTTAATGCTTCAAAATGTATTAGGTAATTTTTGTAGTAATTTTTTCAATTCCAGAAGTTCCATTTGGTTCTTTCTTAAAGTGGCTATTTTGTCTTCTTTCTACTTTTGGATAGTTTTACTGGATACCTTGGATTGGGTTTCAACTTTTACCTGTATCTTGATCAGCTTCCTTGCCATCCAGATTCTGAACTTTATGGCTTTCATTTAAGTCATTTCAATTTGGTTAAGAACCATTGCAGAGGAGTTGCCTTGTTTGAAGATAAAGGGAAACTCTGACTTTTTGAATTGCCAGAGTTCTAGCACTGATTCTTTCTCATCTGAGCAGGCATGTGCTCCTTTGTGTTTTGGATTTGCTGTAATTTCTATGAGGCTTTTTGTTTTGATATTCTTTATTTCCCTTTAGGGTTTAACTGTTGTGCAAGTTGAGTATAGTTAATTAGCTTTGTTTCTAGGTGCTTCCAGAGGGCCAAGGCTCTGTATGGGATCTTTATTTGTGGCTAGATTCTTACCTTGGGTTTCACAGGCAATGTGTATTGGCAGAATACTTTTGGTATTGTAATTTGGGCAGTGATCGAGTAGATGAGTAATGGTTGGCAGAGAGTATTACTCTGCTCTGTGGCTTTTTTATATTTCTGCACATTTGCAGTGGTACTCTGTGGGGACCAGGGGAGAGAGATGACACCCTAGCCAGGTCCATTCCCAGGCCTTAGGGTAGCCCCACTTGATCACTGGCACTGCATCCACATTTCATTTGTTAGATGTTCTAGGCCATGGGGCTCTCTCAGGCAGAGATTTTGTCTAGCAGACAGGCCTCACCCTTCCTGGACAGGCCCTGGAGACAGAGGTGTGCCCTGCTTCTGCACTGGCCTATGAACTCACACCTAACACTCAGTGTATTGAGACTGGGGGCTCCTCCCCAGATTGAGTTCTGGCAAAAATCTCAACTCAGAACTCCTGAGTGTGTGCTGCAACCTTGGGGCATTGGAACCATGCCTGTGGCTTTGTCCTCTACCTCCTTGGGATCAGGCACCTGTTGTGCTAGGAGAGCTGAAGTGTTCCCAGGCTGTGGGGAAAGCACTCCAGCAGGGCCACTGGCAAGACTGTCAGGCCAATCAGTGGAGGCTGTGCTGTGTGAACACAGTTGCAGAATCAGCCAGGCAAGAGCCTTGTAGGGATTGTGGACAGGAAGACATGCAGAACAGATGTGTCCAGAGAGCCTTGGGGGAATGGGTGCCTATGGCCACATTTTGTTGCAGCTGTTCCACATGTAAAACCCCCTGGGGTCCTTGCAGGCTAGAGCTCTGTCTTTGTCTATTCTTTGGGCAGATCCTCCTGACAATTGAAATGACTGCAAGAGTCGTGAGATCTCTTGTAGCTAGGATGCCAGAGGTACATGGTGAAAGTGGGTTGCCCTGCTGTCACTTCACTCACCCATTCCTTAGGAGGTGTTCAGGACCAGGAACTAATCCTGGTGCTTGGCACACCAATGCAGTTTTCCCAGCTTTCTCCCTATTCAGCCTTAGTATCTGTGTTACCTATCAAATCTCAGTGTTTTCTCTCCAAAGATCTGTTTGAAGTACAAACAGATAGTGGAGAATTTGCTGGTTTGTTTATTAGATATTTTGGTCTTTTGTGGTGGGAGAAGTACTTCCTGGATGTGTCTACTTGGCCATCTTGTCCCTCTCTCCAGAAACTACTTTCAAAGAGGACCAGATGGTGTATTTAGAAGATAAAGACTTCAAAGTAGCTATAATAAATATGTTTATAGGGCTGGGCTCAGTGGCTCATGCCTGTAACCCCAACACTTTGAGAGGTCATCATGGGATGATTGCTTGAGACCAGGAATTTGAGGCCAGCCTGGGCAACATAGTGAGAATACAAAGAACTAAAAAAAAAACCATGCTTAAGGAAGCAATGGAAGACGATGTCAGTGAAAATATACAACAACCTCCAGAAATGCTCTATGCCATAAAAGAAAAAGGAAATCTGGCCAAAAAAAATCAAAATTAACTTTATCAGGACTCTCAAAATTAATAAACTTTTACAGCCATCAGAGAGCATTTATTTAGGAAAAACAGCTAAATCAGCAAGATTTGTGGCATTTGAAATTGTTCTATTCTCATCTCTGTCTCTCCAACTATGCAATAGAATTTTAAAACAATCTTTTTTTTTCTTTTTTTTTTTTTTTTTTGAGACGGAGTCTTGCTCAGTCACCCAGGCTGTAGTGCAGTGGTGCGATCTTGGCTCACTGCAAGCTCCACCTCCTGTTTTCTTTTTTTTTTTTTTTTGAGACGGAGTCTCGCTCTGTCGCCCAGGCTGGAGTGCAGTGGCTCGATCTCGGCTCACTGCAAGCTCCGCCTCCCGGGTTCACGCCATTCTCCTGCCTCAGCCTCCCGAGTAGCTGGGACTACAGGCGCCCGCTACCACGCCTGGCTAATTTTTTGTATTTTTAGTAGAGACCGGGTTTCACCGTGTTAGCCAGGATGGTCTCGATCTCCTGACCTCGTGATCCGCCCGCCTCGGCCTCCCAAAGTGCTGGGATTACAGGCGTGAGCCACCGCGCCCAGCCTCCACCTCCTGTTTTCACACCATTCTCCTACCTCAGCCTCCCGAGTAGCTGGGACTACAGGTGCCCGCCACCACGCCTGGCTAATTTTTTTTTTGTATTTTTAGTAGAGACGGGGTTTCACCATGTTAGCCAGGATGGTCTCAATCTCCTGACCTCGTGATCCATCCACCTCGGCCTCCCAAAGTGCTGGGATTACAGGCGTGAGCCACCGCGCCCGACCCTTAAAACAATCTGGGTAAAACCCAGGAGCCTGGCAGCAACTAGAAGACAAAACAAGGTTAGAGCTCCTTCAAAGCCACATTGTCGTTATAATTGTCATTGTTTGATTTGTCTGTTGATTCTGTGGAAAACTCCACTTGCAAGGATGCCTTTTAAAACTTGACTCGTAGCTCAACCAATTTGCAAATCCTTTTTCCTGGGAACATTTGTCGAAAATAATGTGTGGAAATTGTTTAATATCACAACTACCTGAGGTGGCTATAATAGTTCAGGCAGACAAGAAATTGACCAAAAATGATAAAAGGAAAAACTGAGAAATAAATTGTCCATAGTGGGCTTTGAAAATTTGTTATATGTTCCTGGGAATCTAGAAAGCCACAGGCATGTGTAGGGCTTTGTACATGCCCAAGGCTGTACGCATGTGAAGGAAAGACCTGAGAAAATCCTGAGCCCTCAGTACTGGCTAACCTTAAAACTCTGTGTAAGCAGGAACTGGGGGCTAAGGACGAGCTATAAATTGCCTACCAGAACATTGAAGAGGTGTCCAAACACAGACAAAGAGCCTCTCAGTGAAAACTAGGAGACTTACTAGTTTCATGTTTGTAACGAAACCTCTGTTTAAATGTTAACTGACCACTAAGATAAATGAGCAGAGACTTCAGTGACCACATATGAAAAGAATACAGACTTTATAGAATTAAATCAGAAAAGCCACTAAGCAAAAGACAATAACATCAACAGCAAATAATAGCAACAATGAACACCTTGGCAGGAGGGAGTATCTAATTTCCAGAGTTACCACATTATATTATTTTCAATGTCACGTTTTCAATAAAAAATTATAAGACATGCAAAGAAACAAGAAAATATTGCCTATCATGGAAAAAATCACTTGAAACTATCCATTAAGAAGCCAGATGTTGCATTTACATAGCCTTTAAATTGGCTATTTTAAGTATGCTCAAAGAACTAAAGAACTAAAGGAAAGGATGAGAGTTGTGGCTTATGGAATAAAGAACATTATTAAAGAAAGAGAAATTACTTTTAAGAGAAACTACAGTAATTCTGAGGTAAAAAAGATAATAACTAGATTTAAATTTCTCAACAGCCGATGTAAGCAAATGGAAGAAAGAATCAACAAATTGCAAAGAAGGTCCGTTGAGTTTATCTATTCTGAGGAACAGAAAGAAAAAAGAATGAAGAAAAATAAACAGAGCCTCAGAACATTCTGTTCTGTTTATGGGGACTCCACAAGGAGAGGGAGGAAAGTGGCAGGAATGATAGCTGAAGAAATGTCTGAAAACTTCCCAGATTTGATTAAAAATATCAATCTGCACATCAAAGAAGCTCAGCAAATGCCAAATAGTGAAAAATAAGAGATCCAAACCTTGACACATAATAATCAAACAGTCAAGGGCCATAGAAAAAAATAATCTTGAAAGCAGTAAAAAAGAAACATGTCAGGGGGATCCTCAATTAAAAATTATCAACTGATTTCTCATCAGAAATTATAGAGGCCAGAAGGCAATGGGATGACATATTCCAAGTAACAAAAAAACACTGTCAGCTGAGAATTATTTTATCCAGCAAAACCATTCTTCAAAAATGAAGGAAAAGCAATATATTCCCATACAAGCAAAAACCCAAAGAATTTGTCACTGCAAAACCTGTTCTACAAGAAATACTAAAGGGAGTCCTACAAGAAATACTAAAGGAGTCCTTCAGGCTGAAATTTAAGGACTCTATACAGCATCCCAAATCCATTTGAAGAAATAAAGATCACCAGTAAAGGTAACTATACAGGTAAATATTAATTAAATTTCTGGGGGAAACCTAAGGGGAAAAACTCAGAAAATATAGTAAAAGTAACTAAAATGGAATTAAAATGTTACTGTAGAAAATATTTTACACAGAAGAAGGCAGGAATGGAGGAACAGAAGAACAAAAAACATAAGACATAGAAACAAATAGCAAAATAGCTAATGTAAATTCTAACTTATGAATTACATTAAATGTAAGTGCATTAAATATTCCAGCTAAAAGCAGAGATTGGCAGAATGTATAAAAAGATACAACCATGTGTGGTTTACAAGAGTCACAGTTTAGAATCAAATACACAAATAGGTCAAAAATGAAAGGACAGAAAAAGATATTTCATACAATTAGTAACCAGAAGACAGTTTATATTAATATAAGACAAAATACTTATGAATGTAAAATTTATGATCTTGGGTTAGTCAACAGTTTCTTGTATATAATACCAAAAGCACAAGCAAGAAAAAATATAGATGAATTGGATTTTTTTCTATATTAAATACTTATGCTGCATATTATACTCTCAAGATAGTGAAAAGACAACCCATGGAATTGATGAAAATATTTGCAAATCTTGTCTCTGATAAGGGACTTGTGAACATGTGAAAATCTCTTGCAATTCAACTATAAAAAGACAACTCACTTAAAAAATGGAAAAAAATTGAATGGACATTTCTTCAAACAAGATGTATAAATGGCCAATAAGCACATAAAAATTGCTAAAAAACATTAGTTATTAGGGAATACAAATCAAAACTCCAATTGGATACCACTTTCCACCACCTAGGATGGCCATAATCCAAGAGATGAACAATAACAAATGGCAACGAGGATGGGGAGAAAGTGGAACCGTCATACACTACTAGGAATGTATGATGGTGCTTTTGCTTTAGAAAACAGTATGGCAATTCCTTAAGCATAGAGTTATCATGTGACCTATCAATTCCACTCCTAGGTATATACTCAAAAGAAATGAATACATGTACCTTACACACTTGTACACAGACGTTCACAGCAGCATTATTCACAATAGCCAAAAATTGAAAACAACCCAAATGTCCAACTGATTAATCAATAAATAAAATGTATATCCATACAACTGGATATTATTTAGCAACCAAAAGGAATGAAGTCTTGACTCATGCTAAATCATGCTTGCATCCTGCAAACATTATGCAAAATGAAAAATCCAGACACAAAAGACTATATGTTGTATTATTTCATTTATATGAAATATCCAAAATAGACTTCTGCTGAAGCTATTCATAATTACTTTATATTTGGTTTTGCTAAATGGCTGGAATGTAATTTGTGGTCATATTGCTACCGTGAGGGTAGACCTTACCTGATTAAGATGTCTACACAGGAAAGAGCAGAGCCAAGATATAAAGAAAGACATATTTATAAAGGCATATTTTGAACACACAAATCCATCTGGATACCAAGTAACCCCATTTAAGTGAATTTAAAAAGTCCCAGTTTACATTGGGTCTCTTGTCACATGAAACAGAAAGAGTCCTAACTAATGTGGTTGGTTAAAAAAACAATTATTTGTTTTTCACTTCCAAGGTAATTAATATATTGTAAATTCAGGAAAGATGTGCTTCAGGATTTTTTTGACCACAATAGTGATGTCTTTTTGTGAATATTCATTCTTCAGTAGAATAACTGGCCAGCAGAAAACACCAAACTCTGTCTAGCTTGTATATACCAATTAAACATGAAATAACTTGGATTATATGATCATAATTTTTATATTCAAATTTCATTTAAAAATACATTACTTTTTAGTGGTAATAGTAGTCCTTCCACCAGTGGAGGGTTGGTTATGAGAGGAATATATTTCTTGCCGCAACTTGGAGAGTTCCTTACAAATAAAAGATAATATAATCATTTGATGGAAAGTAGAAACATGAGATAATAAATATATTTAATCATTTAGAAGGGTTACTAACAATGATTATACCCCCTCCCTTTTACCCCTTTTTAGCCTTGACGTAATAATGTTCTAATCCCACTTGTTGAATATCACCTAGTGTTGCTTCACAGTACCTAATAAGTTATATTATATGCCGGTGCAGGAACCTGCAACTGATACAGGATATCTAAATTTGGAGGATAACTTGAGATTGAATGGGCGTGGTTCTCAGGATGAGGATGTGAAAGTTTTTGCTCTGAAAAGCCTGAAAAGTATATCCATAGAAGAAAAGTATTGAAACTTCAATATATAAGCAGATATAGTTTCTTAAGAGAGAGTTTATCAATGAATGTTACTACAAGCACCATTTGCTCCATAACAGCAATACAATATTACCCATAATTTTTGACAATTCCTTCAGTACCTATTGAATGCCAGGTCATGGGCTACATGCTACAGATACAAGGAGGAATATAACACATGCTTTAATGAAGCAGCTCATAATGTAGTAAGGAGGTCACAGTCTACTGGGAATTTCACTGCTAATGAAATATAAAATCAATGTCTTAAAAATATTAAATGTATAACAGCACTTATTTTTTGCTTCAATTGTAACTTTCATTTGAATTGTGTCTCCTGAAATATGTATATTCTACTTCCTCACTTGCACCTACATTTTATTTCATTAAATAAAGTGACTCTTGGATATGTGTCCTTTTCTAGTCCATGGGAAGTATTTATCCTACAGTACTACAGTACTAAGTTGTATTACTTTTCTCCATCCCCACCCCTTCCTTTTATACCTCTGACTGACGCTTTATGAGGGAATCCTTCTCTTCCAGCAAGCTTGTCAGTTCATGAAGCTTAAATTGGAAGTCACTACAACTTCCTTCTCTCTTTGAAACATCTTTATGGTACTGGTTTAATTGGGACTAAGGATTTAAAAAGAAATAAATATTATTATAATCTTCATATAGAAAATGTGTAACTGAGTTCCAGGGAGGTTAAGTGACACAAACTCACACAGTTATGAAATGAAAGTAAAATACCAATAGTCATAAACGTTCGAAGAATTTCATGAGTATGTAATATGAAATGAAATGCCAATTACAAATTTCTCCTTTTTTTAAGGTGTCTTTGCTATGTAGGACTAAACATTATCTACGTAACAGTCTTAGGCCACAAAATTTAAAGTAAAGCTAAGAAAACAGGCACTTTAGAGTCCTTGAAATAATAATTAAGGAAATAGCAATAACAAATTACTACTATTATATTCTGATTTTCAGTTCACAAAATATTCCTCCTGCATGAATTATCTCAGTTCTCACAGCAGTCCCATGAAATAAGCATTATTATAATCTTCATTTACAAAACAGATAATGGGCTCCAGAGAGGTTAAATGACACAGTCACGCAGTAACATAGCTGCAACTCCAAAACAGGTCTTCTGACTACAAATCTTGTCCATTTCCCTCTTTACCTCATATGTGTGTAGCTTAGGTAGAAGTGCTGTTAGTAATGTTGGAATGGAAAAGAAATCAGTGGAGGAAATCTGCTAGAAGTATTGGTAGGTTTGGAAAACAAATTATATTTTGTTTCATTTTGATTTTTGGTAAAAATTATACAGTGATGTTTGGAGAGACAAATTTGTGATTATTTTGTTTATTAAAATATTTAAGTATATTTTACTACCTTTAGGAATCAGTAAAATAAGGGTTAGATTAAGTAAATTCAACCTAGAATTACAAGTTAAGGCAATATATACTTATAAATATCACCTTAATTTTGATGTCAACTATAGGTACCTAAAACTTAACACTGTTTTCCTCCTCATGCTTGACAAAGTCCTTGCTATTCATCATCCCTCGAAATTAAGTGAGAATTTTTACAAATCTAACTATGGCTCTGTTGAGTAATTTCATATATTGCTTTTGCCTACATAAGCATGCTTTAGGCAAGATCATGAAGAGTCCTCCATCTATCCCAAAAAATAAATTAATAAAAACCAAAACCAAACCACTGAAATGAATATCTTCTTTTACTTTCCTAGAAGAAATTAAGCTAAATTAGAAAATCATTTAACAGTTATATTTTAGATACAGTAATGTATTTAAAACAAATGAATACATGACATATTTCTAAAACTCTACCTTCAGCTAATTTTTTCTGGTAGCTTTAAACTTGAAGCCATCATTATCTTGCTAGAAAGTTTGTGCTGACCTGTGTATTTATGCAATGTAGGATCAACATACCCTCAGTCTGCAGATCTCTCTATCTTTCTCCATTCTCAAGTTTTTTACCATCTCCGTGTAGTGGTTGCCAATCTCATCCATTTTAGCCTGCAACATTGGGCCTGTGCAAGTCTCAGAAACCTACAGAAGGCAAAATAACTATCTGTAATTGGATTGTTTTGAAGAAAATACATGTTATGTTACAAGGATTGTTATTAGATGAAAACCACATGATTAAATAAGACATTGAAATAATGAAAGTGATTTTCAGGAACTGCATTATAAAGCTCAAATGTCAGTGATTAAGATCTAACAGTATGTGAGGGAAAGCAGTCCATATGTTTTCTAAATGCTAGGATTACAATGATGTAACTAAGGTAATACTGTATATTTAAAAGGAAGTTTTAATACCTGCATTCTAAGGTTTTGATTCTCTTGCTCTAAATTACGTTTACAATATTCCAGTTCTTTTAGTCTGTATTCCATGTCTGATAGTGTATGTCGAAGAGAGAGATTGTTTTCTTCCAATGCCTGGCATTTTGAACTTGAGTCTTGAAGTCCTTGCTGTAAAGAAGACACAAGTACATAAGACAAATGCATTTTGTTTTTGGTGAGGGAGTGTTCTTTTTATTGATTCATTCAATTGAATCAAGTAAATATTTTCCTATGCCCAGTTTTCTTATACTCTGGGTCTTAGATGGTACATTAAGTCACCCATGTAAGATATTATAGTGTTGCCTCTAGTCTCACTCATCTATTTTGTGAGAGAGGGAATCATGACTAGATGAATTTATAATGTCTCAATTTAACAATCAGACTCTTGCTACTCTGTGACAATACTGTACCCTGCTTTCTAGTAGGCACAGAAACGACCATATGCCTGATTATTTACATGACAACTAGTAACTGAGCAAGAATTTGGGACAGCCATAGGAGTAAAGATCAGGAAGAGGGTAATCCTTAGAGACTACTTACAATTTCCTAGGAATTCTCTCTGCTCAGACATCCAGAGAATTCATCTAGAGTTTTTTCAGTCATTTATTTATTGCACAAACATGTATTAAGGTCTACAACAGCTTTTCTCATTGACATGTTAGTACATTAAATAAATGCATGAACCTAGATTTTTAGTATTTCTACAATTCTGGTCACCCAACAAGACAAATAATTGTGTCCCATATGTACTTTATATCTAAAATAGATAAGATTATCTGTTTTTCTGAGAGGGCTTTCAGCCATTAGAAATACCCAAAGCCACTCAATTCTCATATGAACAAATTTTTCCATCATATTTAATTCTGTCTTGATTATATCTCATAACTCCAATGTGCCAGTAATTGTGCATATGAAAAGCTATCAATGTAGATTAACACCAATAAAAGCATCAGTTTACCTGCTGCTGGTGATTATTTGCTCTCACTGATGCCAAGAGTTCTTCGTACTCTTTTAATTGAGTGTCTTTGAATGATAAATCTTTCTCAAGTCTCATCTTGTCATTTTCCAGTGACTAGAAGCATAAATTATTTATTATGATTCAGAATTGCAAAAACTTAACAGTCACATAATACAAAGACTTGCTTACCTTGGAAGATTTAAATAAGCACTTGTTTCATTTGTACTTGCTTAATAAAGCAGAATTCTTAAAAGTTAAGAAAATACGGGATAGGAAATGATTGAAACTTCTAAAACCTTCATTGAAAGAGACATTTTGATGGACTAACTATACATGAAATGAAGCACAACCCTCTGAAATGTTTTAATGTTTTCCTCCAATCTACAAAGAGTCCTCGTTAATCCCAGCGAGTGGTAAATTTTTAAATTAGAGTCTAAATATGTTCATCATAACCCAGAAACAACAAAACTACTCCAAAGTCCTCAAGGCATTATTCAATGTGTGGAAAGCATTCTGAATGTATCTAGCTGATGGCACCAAGAACACCAATTAAAATAGAAAATGGAAAAAAATTAATTTTTTGGAGAAAAATGTTTTCAAGTTATTATATTTGAATGGAAATTCAGAGTATGCTTTATAATTATGAAAAAGGGGGAATTTACCTCCAATGAGTCAGATTATTTTAACTTTGCAGATGACTCTCTGGCTTTAAGCATTAAATTGCCTTAGTGGTAAACTAAATGATAAGTGCACATCCAACATTCTTTCATTTATACTTTGGATACCTCTTTTCTCCTCTCTCAATGCCAATTAACTGTTTGAAGAAAATAATTTAGCTTTGTCTGAATAAGCATAATATTGTGCTATATTAAATTTTAAAAACATATACTGGACATCTTTATTTCTGTATTAGGAAGCTAGTAACTAGAAAGGCTTTGGAAAAAATCAAAATAAATCTTACTGTCATATCATTTTGAAGATGTCCAAGCTCCTCCCGTATGTTGCTAAATGTGGACAGCACTAGTCGGAGTGACTTATCAGACATACCCCTCATCTGCAGGAAGAAAGGATTAATGGTTTAGTTTTATTAACATTTGAAAATAGGCAATATAAGTGAAAGTTTTTTTTTTCCTACTAGCAAACTTATTAATAATTTTACTTTGATATGGCAAATTAGAAAGGTGATATAAGGCATTTTGTCAATAGTGTGTTTAAGTAATCCAAATAATATTCCTGAAGATAGCATAGCTAGTATTTATAACAAATATTTATTATTTTTTCCATGATAAAGTATCATCTTTGTCACAAAGTAGAATTCTATCAGCAAAATTTAATTTTTACATTATTCTTTATTTAAAAGATTAGAAGAGATGAGACAGTCAATAATCAAATAATAAAATGAATCTCCCTAAGTGTATTGCCAACTGCCTGAATTTTGCCTGAGGTGAGAAGAATATAATTATAATTAAGTTTAACTTTAAAGTATAGAGCTATCTAAATATTTTTGGTTTTTTTTGTTTTGTTTTTGTTTTTTTACCAGAGTCTCACTCTGTCGCCTAGGCTGGAGTGTAGTGGCATGATCTCAGTTCACTGCAATCTCTGCCCCCTGGGTTCAAGCAATTCTTCCACCTCAGCCTCCCAAGTAGCTGGGACTACAGGTATGCACCAACACACCTGGTGAATTTTTGTATTTTGAGTAGAGAACGGATTTCACTGTGTTGGCCAGGCTGGTCTCGAACTCCTGACCTCAAGTGATCCACCAGCCTTGGCCTCCTAAAGTGCTGGGATTACAGGTGTGAGCCACTGCACCTGGCTTATCTCAAATTTTAAAGAGAGGGGAAACTCTTTTACTAGATTATTCTTATTTCTTTAAAGAAAAATGGTTTAAAAAACAGACAACTTCAGCTTCTGGGAAGATGGAGTAAAAATACTTTCCACAACCAATCAGACGTTGTTTAAGGTTTAACTTTGTAACTTCAGCCTCTGATTGGTCACTTTCTGCAACCAATCCGACTGATAACGGGCCACTACTTCATTTACATAGAGTGTACACCAAGTTACCAATGGGAAACCTCTAGAGGACATTTAAACCACATAAAATTATATAACTGTGCACTTGAGCCAATTGCTCAGCCCACTCCCACCCTGTGGAGTGTGCTTTCATTTTCAATAAATCTCTACTTTTGTTGCTTCACAAAAAAAAAAAAGAAAGAAAAAAGAAAAAAAATACTTTTCCCTAGCCTTCCTGTTAATTGCAGCTAAAAACCCTGGACATTATATATAAAACAAATATAAAAAGACCCAAATTGGTGAAAAGAGAAATGATTGGTTAGGAATCTTGGGACCTGAGAAATGACACAGCAGTGAGTTCCTGGATTTTCTTTTTGCTTCATATATTAGATCAGTGTTGGGCAAGCTGGTGATCTAGTTACATCAATGGACAACAAAAGTCCTGAGAAAAGCCTTCTCTCTCTAACCAAAGGACCATGAAAGGGTCAGCCTAGCAGGACAGAAAACTTTTAGATAGTAACCACTCTATCTTAGCCAAACACCACAGAAGAAATTGCAACTCTACTTCCACACGGACCACCAAAGGCCAAGAAGAGAGCTTAGACTGCCCCCTTGTCAGGCTCTAGGGAGGTACACAACACCATTCACTGGGATGGTGTCAGAAAAGACAGAGTGAAGAATGGTGCTTTCATTCCTACTGGCCAAAAATGAAATTCCATGCACTGTGATGTCAGTTGAGACTGTGAAGGGAGCTTGGGCTTTCACCCTATCGCATCAAGAGAAGCTGAGTGGGGGAACCTCAACTTCCACCACCAGCTGGCAGTAATAGGTAGTGCACACACTTTCTCTGATATTTGAATATTTGAATGAGACCCAGAGAGTCACAACATAAAAATGGCCAGGTCTCCCATCCAAGTACTAGCCAGGCTCAATCCTGCTTAGCTTCTGAGATCAAACAAGATCAGACATGTTCAGGGTCAATTGAAAATCACTCATAATTCCAAGAACAACAAAAATCTCAACCAATAAGAAAAAACACTTAATTGATGACAACATCAAGATAATAGAAATGTTAGAATTATCTGATAAAGTGTATAAAACAACCATCATAAATACTTCAACAAGAAGTTGCAAGGAGACTGTAAAAACACATTGTCTCAATGACAAAATAGAAAGTCTCAGCAAATAAATAGAAGACATAAAGAATACCTAAATGGAAATTTTAGAACTGAAAAGGACAGTAACAAGACAAAGAAACAAAAACCAAACCAAAACAACAAAGCTCTCAAGGAGTGGGCTAAAAAGCAGAATGGAGAGAACAGAGGAAAGAATTAATGAACTTAAAGATAGAATAAAATAAAGTATATAATCTGAATATCAGAAACAAATAGATTAGAAAAAATTAAACAGAGCTTAAGGGTTTGTGGGTGTACACCACATATCTAGCTTTCATGTTCAGAGTCCTGGAAGGAAAGGAGAAAGAGGATGGAGCTGAAAAAATATTCAAAAAAATTATGGCTGAGAAGTTTCCCAAATTAGTAAAACCTGGTAACATACATATTCAAGAAGCTGAGCATATCCCAAACAATATAAACCCAAAGAAATCCATTACCAGACAAATCAGAGTCAAACTTCTTAAAACTAAAGACAAACTAAAAATTTTCAAAGCAGCAAGAAAAACATTAATTATTGGGAATAACAATTCAAATGACAACAGATTTCTCATTACAAATCATGAAGCCCAGAAGGAACTAGGATACTATTTTTTAAGTACTAAAAGAAAATAATTGTCAACTGTAAATTCTATATGCAGTGAAATTATCCTTTAGGAATGGAGGGAAATTCACATTTTCAGATGAGGGAAAATGAAAATAATTTGTTACTAGCAGACCTACCCTTAAAGAATAGCTAAAAGAAGTTGTCTAAAGAGAAGAAAATCATAAAAGAAAGAATTTGGAATATTAAGAAGGAAGATATAGCATTGTAAGCAAAAATATGGTAAATACAATAAGTTTTCCTTCTTTTCTAGAGTTTTCTTTTTTTATTATACTTTAAGTTCTGGGATACATGTGCAGAACGTGCAGGTTTGTTACATAGGTATACACGTGCCATGGTGGTTTCCTGCACCCATCAACCTGTCATCTATCTACATTAGGTATTTCTCCTAATGCTATCCCTCCCCTAGCCCCCCACCCCCTGACAGGCCCCAGTGTGTGATGTTCCCATGTGTTCTCACTGTTCAACTCCCACTTATGAGTGAGAACATGAGGTGTGTGGTTTTCTGTTTCTGTGTCAGTTTGCTGCGAATGATGGTTTCCAGCTTCATCCATGTCCCTGCAAAGGACATGAACTCATCCTTTTTAATGGCTGCATAGTATTCCATGGTGCGTATGTCCCACATTATCTAGTCTATCATTGATGGGCAATTTGGGTTGGTTCCAAGTCTTTGCTATTGTGAATAGTGCTGCAATAAA
The DNA here is from genome assembly GCF_000001405.40 of Homo sapiens. NCBI lineage: Eukaryota > Metazoa > Chordata > Mammalia > Primates > Hominidae > Homo > Homo sapiens. Next base: position 85,311,647 of record NC_000023.11, read on the forward strand.
CATATGTGTGCATGTGTATTTATAGTAGAATGATTTATAATCTTTGGGTATATACCCAGTAATGGGATTGCTGAGTCAAATGGTATTTCTAGTTCTAGATCCTTGAGGAAGCGCCACACTGGTTGAACTAATTTACACTCCCACCAATAATCTAAAAGCGTTCCTATTTCTCCACATCCACTCCAGCATCTGTTTTTTCCTGACTTTTTGATGATCGCCATTCTAACTCACGTGAGATGGTATCTCATTGTGGTTTTGATTTGCATTTCTCTAATGACCAGTGATGATGAGCATTTTTTCATGTTTGTTGGCTGCATTAATGTCTTATTTTGAGAAATGTCTGTTCATACCCTTTGGCCACTTTTTGATGGGGTTGTTTGTTTGATTCTTGTAAATTTGTTTAAATTCTTTGTAGATTCTGGGTATTAGCCCTTTGTCAGATGGATAGATTGCAAACATTTTCTCCCATTCTGTAGGGTGCCTGTTCACTCTGATAATAGTTTCTTTTGCTGTGCAGAAGCTCTTTAGTTTAATTAGATCCCATTTGTCAATTTTTGCTTTTGTTGCTATTGCTTTTGGTGTTTTAGTCATGAAGTCTTCCCCATGCCTATGTCCTGAATGGTATTGCCTAGGTTTTCTTCTAGAGTTTTTATGGTTTTAGGTCTTACCTTTAAGTCTTTAATCCATCTTGAGTTAATTTTTGTATAAAGTGTAAGGAAGGGGTCCAGTTTCAGTTTTCAGCATATGGCTAGCCAGTTTTCCCAGCATTATTTATTAAACAGGGAATCTTTTCCCCATTGCTTGTTTTTGTAAGGTTTGTCAAAGATCCAATAGTTGTAAATGTGTGGCATTATTTCTGAGGCCTCTGTTCTGTTCCATTGGTCTATCTCTCTGTTTTGGTACCGGTACCATGCTGTTTTTGTTACTGAAGCCTTGTAGTATAGTTTGAAGTCAGGTAGCATGATGCCTCCAGCTTTGTTCTTTTGGCTTAGGATTGTCTTGGATATATGGGCTCTTTTTTTGGTTCCATATGTAATTTAAAGTATTTTTTCTAATTCTGTGAAGAAAGTCAATGGTAGCTTGATGGGGTTAGCACTGAATCTATAAATTATTTTCAGCTGTATGGCCATTTTCAAGATATCGATTCTTCCTATCCATAACAATGGAATGTTTTTCCATTTGTTTGTGTCCTCTCTTATTTCCTTGAACAGTGGTTTGTAGCTCTCCTTGAAGAAGTCCTTCACATCCCTTATAAGTTATATTCCTAGGTATTTTATTCTCTTTGTAGCAATTGTGAATGTGAGTTCACTCAAGATTTGGCCCTCTGTTTGTCTATTATTGATGTATAGGAATGTTTGTGACTTTTGCACATTGATTTTGTATCTTGAGACTTTGCTGAAGTTGCTTATCAGCTTAAGGAGATTTTGGGTTGAGACGATGGGGTTTTCTAAATATACAATCATGTCGTCTGCAAACAGAGACAATTTGACTTCCTCTCTTGCTATTTGAATCCCCTTTATTTCTTTCACTTGCCTTGTTGCCCTGGCCAGAACTTCCAATACTATGTTGAATAGGAGTAGTGAGAGAGGGCATCCTTGTCTTGTGCCGGTTTTCAAAGACAATGCTTCCAGCTTTTGTCCATTCAGTATGATATTGGCTGTTGGTTTGTCGTAAATAGCTCTTATTATTTTGAGATACATCCCATCAATACCTAGTTTATTGAGAGTTTTTAGCATGAAGCGGTGTTGAATTTTATCAAAGGCCTTTTCTGCCTTTATTGAGATAGTCATGTGGTTTTTGTCATTGATTCTGTTTATGTAATGGATTATGTTTATTGATTTGCATATGTTGAATCAGCCTTGCATTCCAGCGATGAAGCTGACTTGATCATGGTGGATAAGCTTTTTGATATGCTGCTGGATTCAGTTTGCTGTATTTTATTGAGGATTTTTGCATCGACGTTCATCAGGGATATTGGCCTGAAATTTTCCTTTTTTGTTCTGTCTCTGCCAGATTTTGGTATCAGGATGATGCTGGCCTCATAAAACGAGTTAGGGGGGAGTCTCTCTTTTACTATTGTTTGGGATAGTTTCAGAAGGAATGTTACCAGCTCCTCTTTGTACCCCTGGTAGAATTTGGCTGTGAATCCATCTGCTCCTGGGCTTTTTCTTTTCTTTTTTCTTTTTTTTTGGTTGGTAGGCTATTAATTACTGCCTCAATTTCAGAACTTGTTATTGGTCCTTTCAAGGATTCAACTTCTTCCTGGTTTAGCCTTGGGAGGGTGTATGTTTCTAGGAGTTTTTCCATTTCTTCTAGTTTTTCTGGTTTATTTGCGTAGATGTGTTTATAGTATTCTCTGATGGTAGTTTGTATTTCTGTGGGATCAGTGGTGACATCCCCTTTATCATTTTTTATTGTGTCTATTTGATTTTTCTCTCTTTTCTTCTTTATCAGTCTGGCTAGTGGTAGGGAAGAGGGTGGAATGGAGAAGAGGAAGGCAAAAACTATGAGATAGAGTCAGATTGTACTAAAGCGCTGAGGAGTGAATAAGGGCATTCTACAGAAGGGAATAATATTTCGAGAATGTTTTCCCAAATGCTAGTGATTCAATATAATTTTTGGTGATCTCACCAAACTGAAATATATCCCTTGTCTAACCAAAGAATCCTCAACTCTTAGGAAATAAGATTTTAATTTGGGACTTTCTGTTCTTAATTAAGGGAAGCAACCTAGGAAGCTGTTTGTTAGTGTTGATTTCACACATCCACTCTTGACCCCAACTCACCTGCAGAATGTAGCGTATTTGCTGTTTTGTAAACTCTGATAATCCTTTAGGAATCAATGATTCAATGTCTTCCGACTGTAAGAAAAAAAGGCTTATCCATGGAACAGATACATATCAATCTTAAGATCAGCAATCCACAGACTTTTGTGTAATGGGACATATTTTAGGAATATTAAAAGACTAATTCACTTTTTGAGAAACAGTTTCTATGAGTTTAATTTATAGCCTTATCAGTTCTTATTTTAAAAAAATCAATTATATTACAAACAGTATAAAAATAATCCTGAATTCCACGCATTTTAGGGAAAACCTTTGGGCAACCAATGAGAAGTTCCATTTCTATTTTTAAAAAGACGAAATTAAAAGCAAAATGGTCTATTAAATTCCTTTACACACTTTATTCATTGTATATTTTTTAAAACTGGAAGTTTTGTTGAGTGACAGATATGACATTCTAGAAGCTGATTTTTGAAATAAGGAAAACTTTGGGAAATAAAAATTAAGGGAGTTACAGGTTTTACTGAGAATTTACATAGAGCTGTGGTGACTTTTGGAAGATTATGATGTTGCCACCACAACACTGAAACAGCTTCAACTAATTTTAAGTGAGTAGCTGAAGTGAAGTATTTCTTAAAGGCAATTTAGGAATTACTGCATAATTGTAATGAATGCAGTATGCCAGTACACTGGAAAAAATGATTAAAAACACTAAAGAGGGAATTGTGCTTTTTATTGCATTGAAATAGGTTTTTCTCTATTTGATTATTCTATTAAAAGCAATTAAGATAATATGCATATGTAATAGATTAATACTTGAAAATATTTTTACTTTAAGTTGCTGACTGGCATGGCACATATAAGGTTTTGAAGCATATTAAAACTACATTTGCTATTTAATTAATCATATAGATTTCAGTTTTCTAAAGCAGAGAATATGTGGTCAGTGAAACATCTCTTGTACCCCATAAATAAATACACCTACTATGTACACACAAAAATTAAAAATAGAACATTTCAAATAAACATTGCAATAAGCATAGACAAATCATAAAGTGACAGCTGATAACAATTTTTTTGTGAATAATTACTAGTTTTATAGCTATTATAAATATGTAGTGTTTATATAATTTTAAAGGCAAAATGGCCATAAATTTTTTCACTTACCTGCATTTTCAGTCTAGTAAGGTACTTAACTGAAAGAATATTATTATTGCAAATATCAGAATCTACTTTGTTATTATACTATATTCGATTTTCAACTATCTTTGCACTTACCTCATCTGTAGACTCAAAGTCCTGTTTGCTGCAAGAACAAAAAAAAAGATACACAACTTTAGGAAAAGGTATTCACTGATCATATATAAATGCTAGTTTTCTATTAATTTTATCTTACTTTTTGAAATATAAGAGGACTTATTCAATTTATAAGCACAAGTGAAAATGTTAAAACTAAAATGGCACTTTTACTTAGTTTGACTAAATTTTTTTTTCTGGAATTAGCAAATCTATTAAAAAAGAACATCTGAATAACAAAATAATAAAATATGCAGAAGTGGTTAGTACCATCCGTTAGCACCAGTTTAATTGTGCCTAGATTAGAAGTCCTCAGTGCTTGGCAATAAATGCTTCTTGGGTGAATGAACAAGAAAAATAGCCTTTATCTCTCTATTTCCACCTTCATTTTCTCCTTGTATGTTTCAGTGCTGATTCCATCTTCTCTCCACAGTGTTTTCAAGTTCTTCATACCCTCTTTAACAAAATCAAAGCTTGCAAGACAAGCCTGAATAACTCATTTAATCTATAGTAGAGTATATTTGGTAATGACTGGCTTGAAGGATATTTGAATCTTTACATAGGGACAAAGCATTAAGCAAAATGATCAAAATTCTAGTGGGGTAATAGAATTTCCAGCATCATAATGAGGATTTGGTCACAGGGGTCGAAAGACCCTTTGTGGAGCCGTGATAGGTAGGAAAATGCTGAAGGAGAATTGTTACTGGTTATACCAGACTGGCACTTACTCCTTTGGGAACGTTGAAAACTGGAAAGGATACATTGATAGTGTTGTCTGGGGCAAGACATAGGCCTTCATTTTTGCCAACTTGTTCCCGCTCCACTTGATGGAAGAATTAGGCCCAAAATATATATGGTAAACATACTTCTCAAACAAACAAATGAAGAAAAAACAGTAAACATGGGTTCTGACAGCAAGACAGAATATTTATTTTATTTAAAGTAATTAACTTGACTTTATCATGAAAACATTCCAAGATTGATTTGTCTATTCATTTTTTTTAACTTTTATTTTAGGTTGAGGGGTACATGTACAGGTTTGTTATATAGGTAAATTGCATTTTGTGGTGGTTTGGTGTACAAATGATTTCATCAATGAGGTAATAAGCACAGTAACCAATAGGTAGTTTTTTGATCCTCATCCTCCTCCCACCCTCCACCCTCAAGTAGGCCCCAGAGTCTGTTGTTCCCTTCTTTGTGTCTATATGTACTCAATGTTTAGCTCCCACTTATAAGTAATAACATGCAGTATTTGGCTTTCTGTTCCTACATTAGTTTGCTAAGAATAACAGCCTCCAGCTCCGTCCATGTCCCTGCAAAGAACATGATCTCATTCTTTTATATGGCTATATACTATTCCATGGTGTAGATGTACCACATTTCCTTTATCCAGTCTATCATCAGTGGGCATTTAGGTTCATTCCATGTCGTTGCTATTGTGAATAGTGCTGCAATGAACATAGGTGTGCAAGTGTCTGTATGGTAGAATGATTTATATTCCTTTGGGTATTGTTGAAAACAGTTTGGCAATTAGTCCAAGAACTTAAAACATAATCAGCATTTGATTCAATGGAATTGCTGGGTCAAATGCTGATTCTGTTTTAAGTTCTTGGACAAATTGGCCAAACTGCTTTTCACAATGGCTGAACTAGTTTAGATTCCCACCACCAGTGCATAAGCATTACCTTTTCTCCACAACCATACCAGAATCTGTCATTTTTTGACTTTTTAATAACAACCATTCTGACTGGTGTGAGAAGGTATTTCATTGTGGTTTTGATTTGCATTTCTCTAATGTTCAGTGATGTTGAGGTTTTTTCATATGCTTGTCAGCCACATCTATGTCTTCTTTTGAAAAGTGTCTGTTCATGTCATTTGCCCACTTTTTAATGAGGTTGTTTGTTTTTTGCTTGTAAATTGTCAAAAAGAAGTGTGGCAATTTTTCAAAGATCTAAAGACAGAGATACCATTTGACCCAGCAAACCCATTACTGTGTATATACCCAAAAGAATATAAATAATTCTACTGTAAAGACACATGCTTGTGTAAGTTCATTGCAGCACTATTCACAATAGCAAAGACATGGAATCAACCTAAATGCCCGTCAGTGATAGACTGGATAAAGAAAATGTGGTATATATACACCATGGAATACTACGTACCCATAAAAAACAACAAGATCATGCCCTTTGCAGGGACATGGATGGAGCTGGAGGCCATGATTCTTAGCAAACTAACACAGGAACAGAAAACCAAATACTGCATGTTCTCACTTACAAGTGGGAGCTAAATGATGAGAACATATGGACACATAGAGGGGGAACAACACATACTGGGGCCTATTAAAAGGTAGAGGGTGGGAGGAGGAAGAGGATCAGGAAAAATAACTAATGGGTACTGAGCTTAATACCTGGGTGATGAAATAATCTGTACAACAAACCCCCATGACACAAGTTTACCTATGTAACAAGCCTGTACTTGTAATCCCGAACTTTAAAAAAATGTTTAAATTCCTTGTAGATTCTGGATATTAGACCTGTGTTGGATGTATAGTTTGCAAATATTTTCTTCTCTTATTCTGTAGATTGTCTTTTAAGTCTGTTAAGTCTGTTGATAGTTTATTTTGCTGTGCAGAAGTTCTTTAGTTCAATTAGGTCCCATTTGTCCATTTTTGTTTTTGTTGTAATTGCTTTTGGCATCTTTGTCATGAAGTCTTTGTCAGGTCTTATGTCTAGAATGATATTTCCTAGGTTATCTTCTAGAGTTTTTATAGATTTTGGTTTCAGGTTTAAGACTTTAATCCAACTTGAGTTAATTTTTGTATATCGTATAAGGAGGGTTCCACTTTCAATATTCTGCATATGGCTAACCAGTTATCCCAGCACCATCTATTGAATAGGGAATCCTTTCCCCATTGCTTATTTTTGTAGATTTTGTCAAAGGTCAGATAGTTGTAGGTGTTTGGCATTATTTCTGGGATCTCTATTCTGTTCTATGGGTCTGTGTGTCTGTTTTTGTAGAAATACCATGCTGTTTTGGTTATTGTTGCCTTGTAGTAGAGTTTTAAGTTGGGTAATTTTATGCCTTCCACTTTGTTCTTTTTGCTTAGGATTGTCTTGCTATTCCAGTCTTTTATGGTTCCATATGAATTTCAAAATAGTTTTCTTTAATTCTGTGAAGAATGACATTGCTAGTTTGATAGGAATAGCATCGAATCTGTAAATGGCTTTGGGCAGTATTGCCATTTTGATAATACTGATTATTCCTATCCATTAGCATGGGATGTTTTTCCATTTGTTGGTGTCGTCTCTGATTTCTTTGAGCAGTGTTTTCTAATTCGTATTGTAAAGGTCTTTTACTTCCTGGGTTAGCTGTATTCCTAAGTATTTTACTCTTTTTGTGGCAATTGTGAATGGGATTGTGTTTCTGATTTGGCTCTCAGCTTGGATATTGTTGGTGTATCGAAATGTAGCTGATTTTTGTACATTGATTTCATATCCTAAAACTTTGTTTAAGTGGTGTATCAAATCAAGGAGCTTTTGGGCAGAGACTATGGAGTTTTCTAGGTATAGAATCATATTGTCTGCAAACAGGGATAGTTTGACTTCCTTTCTTCCTGCTTGAATGCCCTTTATTTCTTTCTCTTGCCAGATAGCTCTGGCTGGGACTTCCAGTGCTATGTTGCATAGAAGTGGTGAGAGAGAGCATTCTTATCTTGTTCCGGTTTCAAGAAGAATGCTTCTATCTTTTGCCCATTTAGTATGATGTTGCCTAAGGGCTTGTAAGAGATGGCTCTTATTATTCTGAAGTATGTTTCTCCAATTCCTAGTTTCTTGAGAGTTTTTAACATAAAGGGATCTTACATTTCATCAAAAAACCTTTTCCGTATCTATCGAGTGATCATGTGATTTTTGTTTTCAGTTCTGTACATATGGTAAGTAGCATTTATTGATTTGCATATGTTAAACCAATCTTGCCCCCCAGAAATAAAGCCTACTTGACTGTGGTGTGGATTAGCTTTTCGATGTGCTGCTTAATTTGGTTTGCTAGTATTTTATTGGGGATTTTTGCATCAATGTTCATCAAGGATATTGGCCTTAAGTTTTATTTTTTGTTGCATCCATGCCAGGTTTTGGTATCAGGATGATGCTGGTCTTATAGAATGAGTTAGAAAGGAGTACCTCTTTCTTATTTTTTCAGAAGAGTTTCAGCAGAAATGATACCAACTCTTCCTTATACATTTGGTAGAATTTCGTTGTGAATGCATCTATCTGGTTTTGGGCTTTTTCTATTTGCTAGGCTCTTTATTACTGACTCAGTTTCAGAACTCATTATTGTTCTGTTCAGGGATTCAGTCTCTTCCTGGTTCCATCTTCAGAAGTTGTATGTTTTCAGAAATGTATTTCTTTTAGGTTTTCTACCTTGTGTGCATAAGGGTGTTTGTAATAGTCTCTGAGGGATTTTTGTATTTCTATCCCCTTTTCATTTCTGATTGCATTTATTCGTATCTTCTCACTTTTCCTCTTTATTATTTATCAAACTAGAACTCAGGATTAAGAAACTCACTCAAAACCGCACAACTACATGGAAACTGAACAACCTGCTCCTGAATGACTACTGGGTACATAACGAAATGAAGGCAGAAATAAAGATGTTCTTTGAAACCAACGAGAACAAAGACACAACATACCAGAATCTCTGGGACACATTGAAAACAGTGTGTAGAGGGAAATTTATAGCACTAAATGCCCACAAGAGAAAGCAGGAAAGATCCAAAATTGACACCGTAACATCACAATTAAAAGAACTAAAAAAGCAAGAGCAAACACATTCAAAAGCTAGCAGAAGGCAAGAAATAACTAAAATCAGAGCAGAACTGAAGGAAATAGAGACACAAAAAACCCTTCAAAAATTAATGAATCCAGGAGCTGATTTTTTTGAAAGGATCAGCAAAATTGATAGACCGCTAGCAAGACTAATAAAGAAGAAAAGAGAGAAGAATCAAACAGACACAATAAAAAATGATAAAGGGGATATTGCCACCAATCCCACAGAAATACAAACTACCATCAGAGAATATTACAAACACCTCTACACAAATAAACTAGAAAATCTAGAAGAAATGGATAAATTCCTCGACACATACACTCTCCCAAGACTAAACCAGGAAGAAGTTGAATCTCTGAATAGACCAATAACAGGATCTGAAATTGTGGCAATAATCAATAGCTTACCAACCAAAAAGAGTCCAGGACCAGATGGATTCACAGCCGAATTCTACCAGAGGTACAAGGAGGAGCTGGTACCATTCCTTCTGAAGCTATTCCAATCAATAGAAAAAGAGGGAATCTTCCCTAATTCATTTTATGAGGCCAACATCATCCTGATACCAAAGCCGGGAAGAGACACAACCAAAAAAGAGAATTTTAGACCAATATCCTTGATGAATATTAATGCAAAAATCCTCAATAAAATACTGGCAAACCGAATCCAGCAGCACATCAAAAAGCTTATCCACCATGATCAAGTGGGCTTCATCCCTGGGATGCAAGGCTGGTTCAATATATGGAAATCAATAAATGTAATACAGCATATAAACAGAACCAAAGACCAAAACCACATGATTATCTCAATAGATGCAGAAAAGCCCTTTGACAAAATTCAACAACACTTCATGCTAAACACTCTCAATAAATTAGGTATTGATGGGACGTATCTCAAAATAATAAGAGCTATCTATGACAAACCCACAGCCAATATCATACTGAATGGGCAAAAACTGGAAGCATTCCCTTTGAAAACTGGCACAAGACAGGGATGCCCTCTCTCACTACTCCTATTCAACATAGTGTGGGAAGTTCTGGCCAGGGCAATTAGGCAGGAGAAGGAAATAAAGGGTATTCAATTAGGAAAAGAGGAAGTCAAATTGTCCCTGTTTGCAGACGACATGATTGTATATCTAGAAAACCCCACTGTCTCAGCCCAAAATCTCCTTAAGCTGATAAGCAACTTCAGCAAAGTCTCAGGATACAAAATCAATGTACAAAAATCACAAGCATTCTTGTACACCAACAACAGACAAACAGAGAGCCAAATCATGAGTGAACTCCCATTCACAATTGCTTAAAAGAGAATAAAATACCTAGGAATCCAACTTACAAGGGATGTGAAGGACCTCTTCAAGGAGAACCACAAACCACTGCTCAATGAAATAAAAGAGGATACAAACAAATGGAAGAACATTCCATGTTCATGGGTAGGAAGAATCAATATCGTGAAAATGGCCATACTGCCCAAGGTAATTTATAGATTCAATGCCATCCCCATCAAGCTACCAATGACTTTCTTCACAGAACTGGAAAAAACTACTTTAAAGTTCATAGGGAACCAAAAAAGAGCCCGCATCGCCAAGTCAATCCTAAGCCAAAAGAACAAGGCTGGAGGTATCATGCTACCTGACTTCAAACTATACTACAAGGCTACAGTAACCAAAACAGCATGGTACCGGTACCAAAAGAGAGATATAGATCAATGGAACAGAACAGAGCCCTCAGAAATAATGCCACATATCTACAACTATCTGATCTTTGACAAACCTGAGAAAAACAAGCAATGGGGAAAGGATTCCCTATTTAATAAATGGTGCTGGGAAAACTGGCTAGTCATATGTAGAAAGCTGAAACTGGATCCCTTCCTTACATCTTATACAAAAATTAATTCAAGATAGATTAAAGACTTAAACATTAGACCTAAAACCATAAAAACCCTACAAGAAAACCTAGGCATTACCATTCAGGACCTAGGCATGGGCAAGGACTTCATGTCTAAAACACCAAAAACAATGGCAACAAAAGCCAAAATTGACAAATGGGATCTAATTAAACTAAAGAGCTTCTGCACAGCAAAGGAAACCACCATCAGAGTGAACAGGCAACCTACAGAATGGGAGAAAATTTTTGCAATCTACTCATCTGACAAAGGGCTAATATCCAGAATCTACAATGAACTCAAACAAATTTACAAGAAGAAAACAAACAACCCCATCAAAAGGTGGGCGAAGGACATGAACAGACACTTCTCAAAAGAAGACACTTATGCAGCCACAAAACACATGAAAAAATGCTCACCATCACTGGCCATCAGAGAAATGCAAATCAAAACCACAATGAGATACCATCTCACACCAGTTAGAATGGCAATCATTAAAAAGTCAGGAAACAACAGGTGCTGGAGAGGATGTGGAGAAATAGGAACACTTTTACACTGTTGGTGGGACTGTAAACTAGTTCAACCATTGTGGAAGTCAGTGTGGCGATTCCTCCGGGATCTAGAACTAGAAATACCACTTGACCCAGCCATCCCATTACTGGGTGTATACCCAAAGGACTATAAATCATGCTGCTATAAAGACACATGCACACGTACATTTATTGCGGCACTATTCACAATAGCAAAGGCTTGGAACCAAGCCAAATGTCCAACAATGATAGATTGGATTAAGAAAATGTGGCACATATACACCGTGGAATACTATGCAGCCATAAAAAATGATGAGTTCATGTCTTTTGTAGGGACATGGATGAAATTGGAAATCATCATTCTCAGTAAACTATCACAAGGACAAAAAACCAAGCACCGCATGTTCTCACTGGTAGGTAGGAATTGAACAATGAGAACACACGGACACAGGAAGGGGAACATCACACTCTGGGGACTGTTGTGGGGTGGGGGGAAGGGGGAGGGATAGCATTAGGAGATATACCTAATGCTAAATGACGAGTTAATGGGTGCAGCACACCAGCATGGCACATGTATACATATGTAACTAACCTGCACATTGTGCACATGTACCCTAAAACTTAAAGTATAATAATAATAAAATAAAAAATAAAAAAATAAAAAAAAATGTCTATCTTTCTCATTCATTCTTTCAAGGAGCCACCTTCTGGATTCATTGCTCTTTTGTATGGTTTTTTATGTCTCAATTTCCTTCAGTTCAGCTTGAATTTGGTTATTTCTTGTCTTCTACTGTCTGTGGGGTTAGTTTTCTCTTGTTTCTATAGTTCCTCTAGATGTGGTTTTGGGTTGTTAATTTGAGATCTTTCTAACTTTTTGATATGGGAGGTTAGTACTATAAACTTCCCTTATAACATTGCTTTGTCTATATCCCAGAGGTTCTGATATGTTGTATGTTTGTTGTCATTCGTTTCAAAGAATTTCTTGATTTCTGGCTTAATTTCATTATTTACCCAGAAGTCATTCAGGAGCAGGTTGTTTCATTTCCATTTAATTATATGGTTTTGAGTGAGTTTCTTAGCATCAATTTCTATTTTTATTGCACTGTGGTTCAAGATTGTAGTTGTTGTTATTTCATGTTTTTTGTATTTGCTGATGATTGCTTTATGCTCAATTTTTGGGTCAATTTTGGAATATGTGCCATGTGCAGATGAGAAGAATGTATAGTCTGTTGTTTTGAGGTGGAGAGTTCTGTAGCTATCTGTTAGGTCCATTTTGTCAAGTGTTGATTTAAGGTTCCGAATATCTTTGTTAGTTTTCTGTCTTGCTGATATGTCTAATACTCTCAGTGGAGTGTAGCAGTCTCCCACTGTTATTGTGTTGTTATCTAAATCTCTTCATAGCTCTCTATGAACTTTCTTTATGTATCTTGGTGTGCCTGTGTTGGGTGCATATGTATGTAGGATTGTTAGGTCTTGAATTGAGCCCTTTACCATTATGTAATGCCCTTTGTCTTATTTGATTTTTGTTAGTTTAAAATCTGTTTTTTTCTGAAATTAGGGTTATAACCCCTGCTTTTTTTCTGTTTTCCATTTGCTTGGTCGATTTTTCTCCATCTCTTTATTTTGAGCCTATGGGTGTCATTTTATGTCACATGAGTCTCTTGAAGATAGGATACCTTTGAGTTTTGCTTCTTTATCCAACTTGCCACCCTGTGCCTTTTTATTGGGGCATTTAGCTCATTTGTATTCAAGGTTGGTATTGATCCTGTCATCATGTTGTTAGCTGAGTATTATGTAGAATTGTTGATGTGGTTGCTTTATAGTATCACTGGCCTATGTACTTGTGTGTTTTTATGGTGTTTAATAAAGGTCTTCCTTTCCATATTTAGCAATTCCTTTAGGACTTCTTGTAAGGTATGTTTGGTGGTACCAAATTCCCTAAGCATTTGCTTCTCTGAAAAGGATCTTATTTCTCCTTTGCTTGTAAAGCTTAGTTTGGCCAGATGTGAAATTCTTGGTTGAAAATTATTTTCTTTAAGAGTGCTGAATACAGGCCCCCATTCTCTTTTGGCTTGTAGGATTTCTACTGACAGGTCTGCTGCTGGCCCAATGAGATTCCCTTTGTAGGTGACCTGCCCTTTCTGTCTAGTTGACTTTTACATTTTTTCTTTCATTTCGAGAATCTGATGACGATGTGTCTTGGGTGATCTTCTTGTGTAGTATTTTGCAGGGGTTCTCTGCATTTCCTGAATTTGAATATTGGCCTCTCTAGTGAGGTTGGGGCAATTTTCATGGACGAGATCCTGAAATATGTTTTCCAAGTTGCTTCATTTTTCTGTCTCTCAGGCATGCCCGGGAGTCATAGATTGGGTCTCTTTACAAAATCCCTTATTTCTCAGATGTTTTGTTCATCCTTCTTTATTGTTTGTTCTTTTTCTCTGAGTTATTTTGGTGAGCCAGTCTTCAAGCTCTGAGATTTTTTGCCCACCTTTATCAATTCTGCTGTTAAAACTTGCAATTACATTATGAAATTCTTATAGCGTGTTTTTCAGCTCTATTAAATCAGTTTGGTTCTTTCTTATAATAGCCATTTTGTCTATCAGCTCCTGCATTGTTTTATTGTAATCCTTAAATTCCTTGGATTGGGTTTCAACTTTCTCCTTCATGTCGATGATCTTTGTTCCTATCCATAGTCTGAATTCTATTTCTGTCATTTCAGCCATCTCATCCTGGTTAGGAACCATTGCTGGGGCACTAGTGCAATCCTTTTGAGGTAGGAAGGCACTCTGGCTTTTTGAGTTGCCAGAGTTCTTGCACTGGTTATCTCTAATCTTTGTGGGCTGATGTTCCTTCAATCTTTGAAGTTGCTGACCTTTGGTTGGTTATTTTTTTTCTTTTATCCTGTTTGGTGTCCTTGGAGGTTTGGTTGTAGTATAAGGTGAGTACAGTCGATTGGCTTCATTTCTGGAGGATTTTAGGGGGCCAAGACTCAGCTAAGGACTCCTGAAGTGCATGCTCTAATTCTGGGGAGTCGTATTGGGCCAGGCTTTGATATGTGGCCCCTGAATGTTAGGAACTTGCCACACTGGAGAGGCCGAATTCTTCCTGGACCGCTGGTCACAACACTCCTATGGGTGGTGCCAGCCACCATACTCCGTAGAGTGGTGGCAGTGTGATCCACCCTCGTTTGCACATGTCAACAGCAGTGGCAGTATGGTGGGGTGCACATTCATTGGCTGCAACATGGAGATTGCAGGTGCAGGCGTGCCGGCCTCTGTGGTGGTGTTCACAGTGGCAGCGGTGGCAGCATGGTGGTGGCGGGGGAGGTATCAGGCTCCGCCAGTGTCCCTGCATGCGTTTGCCCGGCAGTGGTGTTAGCACAGGGGTGGGGCACTGGTAGCACTGGACTGTGCGCGCCCTTTGTGTGCGGATTCACACAGGCGGCAGCTACTGCTGGGGGGTGGGGGCGGGTCCACTGGTCTCCCCACATATTTTCACACAGGCAGCAGTGTCAGTGCAAGTGCGGGGCGCTGGTGGGTGCTAGACTAGTGGTCTCTGAGCCGGCGAATGCTCTGATGACAATGGCGGCACAGCAGGGGATTGGGGGGCGGGATGCACGGACGCTGGCAGCTGTGGCACAGGAAGATGCATGCGCACATTCATGCTAGTGGGAAAGGGGAGGCAAGGCCCTTCTGCACACACGCACTGTCAAAACGATGTGACGGGTTGGGGGTGGCCATGGGAGAGTGCGTGCAAGCAAAGTGGCACGAGGGAGGCTGTTGTGGGGAGGACACGGGCAGACTGGTGCATGCCCACGGGGGCTGCTTCCCCTCCCACTTGAGCTCTTCACTGATCAAGTACTGTCTGCCAGTGGAGGAGGTATAATGAGGGCTCCCAGGAGGCACCCCACCTGGGCATCTGAGGCTGCACTACAAGCAGGCAGAGCCAGTCTGGGGCCGCGGGAGAAGGCAGTAGACTGAGGGGTGTTCTGGCCTCTTCTCATGGGCAAGACTACCCTGCAACGTTTAGGTCCAACAGTTTCCCTAGGGCTAAAGTGTCCTAGGGATGGGCATCCTTGGCCATGCTCCACCACAGAGGCTCCCACACCAACCCTCTGGGCTCCGCACTGACTGGAGTTCTGCCCCTACCACTTCTCTAAGCATCTCTCCCTGCCAACTCACATGTTCATGGGAGTTGTGGAGTCTCCTGCTGGCAGGTTTCCAGAGGCCCAGGGCAAGTGCAGGTTGCTCTTTACTTGCTCAACTCACTCCTTCCCGAGGAGTTGTTGGGGCCTAGAAAGGAGCCCCAGTGTGTGGTAGCCCCTTTCAGGGTTCCCAGATTCTTCCCTCTTCAGCCCCCATAATATTTATTTTAAAGTAAAATAGTTGTAGTGTGTTAACTCCTACCTCTACCTTCTTTGTAATTGCTTATGAGTAATACATTGCCTACAGAGACAAGAGGGTCACTTACTGTGCAAAACCTCTTACACACACTTATAAAACTATATGAACTAGTGAGTAGAAAGAGAACTGAAGGTTCCCTTTTCCAAGGCATGAGTACATACGTGCAATTGTCTGCATGTATCTATGTGGTATTTCCTGTGTTGCCCAAAATAGAATTTATAGGGAGGGCCTAGCAAAAGTAGAAATATCTTCTTGTTTTTTAATGCTTTACTAAAGTAACTACATGTATAGATGCAAAGTTGAAGCAAGTTAAAAATGTGAATCACAATGCAGTTTTTGTAGCTTTGCATTACTCTTAACTGGAATTATGATAGTATTAATAGACATTTTGCATTTAAAAGATACTAATCCTTACTTCTTCCAATTCAAATGCCAACCTGGTATACATGTCCCTAGTCACTTTTCTTTCTATAAATAAGAAAACAAAACAAAGAAACAAAACAAGGAACAATAAATAGCACTTAATATCAGAATTTTAAAAAGTAACCAGAATGGTTTCATGTGACAAACTTCCTTAATTTTTACCTTGCAGCCCACTAATTGCTGAATTGCATTTTGGAAGAATATGAAAAGTGGATACAAAAGGGGAGGGAGAGATGGAGAACGTGGAAACAAAGACAGTAGATTAGGGAGGTGGAAAGGTCAGCGTGGAGTATATCTCTATTCAACACTGGAAGATGGTGGCTAGAATTACATTGGGCAGAAAAAGGAACAGAGTGACACTCCCTGTATACAATATCTTTTTTATTTATTTATTTATTTATTTATTTATTTATTTATTTATTTATTTATTTTTTGAGATGGAGTCTGGCTCTGTCGCCCAGACTGGAGTGCAGTGGCGCGATCTCGGCTCACTGCAAGCTCCGCCTCCCGGGTTCACGTCATTCTCCTGCTTTAGCCTCCTGAGTAGCTGGGACTACAGGCGCCCGCCACTAGGCCCGGCTAATTTTTTGTATTTTTAGTAGAGACGGGGTTTCACCATGTTAGCCAGGATGGTCTCAATCTCCTGACCTCGGGATCCGCCCGCCTTGGCCTCCCAAAGTGCTGGGATTACAGGCGTGAGCCACTACAAAATCTTAAACAATTTGCCTGATATTACACATCTAGTGTTGAAAGGTTAAGTGATTTTCCTAAGGAAAATTGGTTCTCAGAGTGTGGGTTCTAGTCCCAGATTTTGCCACTTTTGCAACTTTAGTTTAGTGGTTCTCAAACTTGATCATGTATCAGAATCCTCTGAAGAGCGTGTTGCTGAGCCCTCCCCACAGAATTTCTAATTCTTTAGGTCTATTTCTAAATGTTCACATGATGCGGATGCCACTTGTAACTACATGTCTTAACTCATTTATTGCTTTAACAAATGAATGAGAGAAGTATTTTTACTTGCCTGATACTATACATTTAGTATGTAAAAAAAAAAAACAAAACAAACAAACAAAAAAAAAAACTGTGACATGAACCCAGGATATGAACTCTGGATCTAGAATAAGGGTACTTAAGACTATGTCCTATATACTTCTGAATTTTACAATGTGATACTTTGATAGAAATATTCACAGGGCATGGTTAATGCACCGAAGTAGAGCACCTAGGACAAACTGAAGATTTAGGGAAGGCTTTGCAGAAAAGTTCATAGATTATAGGTAAAGCAGTACTCAAAAATGTCTGAATCCATCTCAGGCACTTAGTAGCTGTGTGATCTTAATAACTTATTTTCTTTGGGTCTTCATCTGAAAGTTTGTAAGGTTATCATGCAAATTAGGTAATATAGATAATGCCTGGCACATGGTGGATGCTTAACATATAGCTGATTATTACATTAAGGGAAATATTTTAAAATAATGAACATGTGTAAAGAGATGAAATAGTTGTTTGGGTAATGGGAAACAGGGAGACTTGTTTGTGTAATGGGTAATGGAGATGGTGTTGATTAGGATAAAACTATGATGAAGGCCAAGTTGAAGATAGAAATCATGCATTTATAATGGCACCGGTTCAAATAAATGGCTCTGCTTTTCTCTAGCAGTGATCAGCTCCATGGGCATAACAGTAATGAAGGCATTTGTTCATTCAGCAACTATCTATTGAGCACCACAGTAAACCAGCCACCACACTATGCACCAAGGACATCAGGGTAAATAAAGCAGCCCTCATGGAGCCCTCTGCATTCTAAAGATAGTGGGTGTTGGATGAAGGAGGTGGTGGTCGTTTTTTTTTTTTTTAAAAAAAGAGAATAAGGCAGAGAGTTAGAGTAATCCAGAGTTGGGGTTTTGCTAAGTGGGAAGGGCAGTTCAATAAGGAGGCAAAGCAGTTGAGGGTGACAGTAAGATAATGGTTGTTGTCATTAATATGAAAGCAAGAAAAATCAAGTGGGAGGGAGCTAATAGATGGAGAAAAGACAAGATATACAAGAGATTAAGAGAGAATACATTACAGACACCAAAATATTGACATGGAAAAATATATACTATATATATTTGAGTGAGAAAACGTACAAAATAGTATATATGGTGTCATCCCATTTACATTAACCTATATATTATATAAAATTATATATTATTTAAAATCTAAGAATTAGAAGAATCTAGTTAGTGAAAAGTCTGAATTAGAAAATATTCTATTGACTTTCCTTTATCTTCCAAATTATTTTGAATTTGTGGAGCTTTCCTAGATTTTGCCTGACAGATGGCCACAGATATGCTGTAATTATATAGTAGAAGGCACCTTTTGGGGTGTAGCTTATAGAATTCATTTCATGACAAAATATGGTCTCATCTACACATGAACAGTTGATAAATTTTTAATGAATATCTATTTAAATCTATATAATTTTATATTGTGTTATATAAAATTATGTTTATGTTTATATCTATTGGTATATTTTTAATTTAATGTAATAGATAATAATATACAAAGTTTATATATAATATGTGACATATCAAATATATTTTAAACTCTGGCCTACATATGTTGAAATCACATAA
Source organism: Homo sapiens (assembly GCF_000001405.40). Lineage (NCBI taxonomy): Eukaryota > Metazoa > Chordata > Mammalia > Primates > Hominidae > Homo > Homo sapiens. The sequence goes on from NC_000023.11 coordinate 85,330,407, forward strand.
GTGGAAGACAAACAGTGGTGTGTTGGCAGTAGGACGGTACCTAATATCATCAGTTTAATATCTTAAAACAAGTTATAGTATGCCATGCATTTTTGAGCTCCTTGCCCAAGATGTTGCTTGTGCCATGAAAGTACATCACAAAGGAAGATACATGGAATTCTTTACTAATCCTAAAAGGGCTTGTGTTTTTTGTTTTTTGTCTGATGATTTTCATAATCTACATTAACTCTTAAAATGAGACATTTGCTCATATCTGCCCTGTTACCTGGGGGGAGGGAGGAGGGATAGCATTAGGAGATAGACCTAATGTAAATGACGAGTTAATGGGTGCAGCACACCAACATGGCGCATGTATACATATGTAACAAACCTGCACGTTGTGCACATGTACTCTAGAACTTAAAGTATAATTAAAAAAAATAAAATAGAAAGTACTAGAGTTTTTGCTGTGAACCTAAAACTGAAGTCTATTTTTAAAGTACTAGAATGTTGTAAAATGTTTGGTAGCTACAACATCAAGGCAAATAATATGTTTACAGTACCTTCCTCCAATTCTCTGCAAATGTTCTAATAAGCAGTGATATAGATCCGTATTCTTACGGCTCAGATCAGCAAGCAACTCTCCAAAATATCTGGGGTCCAATTTTTCAGGGCCATCATCCTGAATTATCACCTGAAGCAAACATCAATCACAATTGTAAGCAATATTAAGTTTTTCTAAGTTCATAGATATTTTTATGTGAAGCGAAAGAAAGATAACCTACTAAAGTCATCACATAAATCAAGCCATTTTTTTCAGGGATACATTTTTTAATGTGGGAGAAATTTAAAGAAAAATCAACATTGCAATGGCAATTTCAACTTCATTTCACTCGATTCTAAGTGTTCAAATGAAAGCAAAATTTGCATAGCATAAACATTCTTGAATATAGGCACTTAAATAAAACAGCAAAATGAGTAAATTAAATCACATGGCTTATTCATATGTCTCCTGTGGAAAAAGAAAATGTGAATTATATTTTTTATTAATTTTTAAAATTAAAAATTAATTGAAACATAATAAAAGTACATATTTATGAGTTTTACTGTGCTACTTCAATACCTGCATACAATCTGTAATAATCAAATCAGGATAATAGCATATCCATCACCTCAAACAATAATCATTTCTTCATGGTGAGAACATTTAAAATCCTCTCTGCTAGATATTTGAAAATATAGAGTAAATTTCTGTTAGCTATAGTCTCCCCACAGTGTTATAGAACACTGGAACTTATTTTTTTCTACATAGTGGTAGTTTTGGATTTGTTAACCAATCTCTTCCTATATTTTCTTCCCCCTCCCTTCTAAGCCTCTTGCTACCACTATTCTACTTTCTACTTGCATGACATCAATATATTTATATATTTAGCTCCCCCATATAAGTGAGAACATGTGATATTTATCTTTCTGTGCTCTGCTTATTTCAGTTTACATAATGTCCTCCAGGCTTATCAATGTTGCCTCAAATGACAGGATTTTATTCCTTTTTATGGCTGAATATACTCCATTGTGTACATTGTGTATACACATGCCATATTTTCTTTATCCACTTATCCATTGATGGACACTTAGGTTGATTTCATATCTTGGATATTGTTAATAGTGCTGCAATCAACATGGAAGTGCAGATATATCTTTGACATACTGATTTTTGAATTATACTGACTATAGAGGAATTACTTCCAGTTGGACGCACATATTCTAAGTGAAAGTCAGCCTGATTTGTTAGTATATCTTAAAGGTAGATAAACCTACTCAATTCAATGTGTTTTAACGTATTTCTTGTTTGACTTCCCCCGTTTATTATTTAAAGCCAATATTTAGTCAATCTCACATGGGAAAGAGTAGCTCAGGGCCAACTGTAGAGAACTCATAGACTTCAGAGACATTTGAAATCCTAGACGCAAATTACTATGAACAGTGTCCTAAATAAGACACATTCTGTTGGCTTCCTATTCTTGGGTATCAATCTTTTCAATATTATTGGGCACTGTGGCTCCCATCCCCAAAACGCACTGCCTGGAGGATAATAACTTAGGTTACACTCCATACTACTTTCAACATTGCATGTAAAACCAAGTGCCCTAAAAACACATTTATTCTTAAGCATATAGATGGTAAATGGATTTGAATTTGACTACTGATACTTCCTTTTCAACCTCTCCTCTGAATTCAGACCTTAAAAAACTGTACATTCTAAGGCAAATGGAAGAATTGCAAAGTAAGCAAAGATAAGTTTTCATAATTACATTTGTGACACAAAAATCAGTTTATAAAATATTGGTCAGTTAAAAAAAGTGAGACACAAAAAAAGTGTAGTATCATCACATTTTTGTTCAGTCTAGATGAATATACCACAATGTTAGTTATCTTGTCCATGTACCCTTTGGAGTTGCTTCCCTGAGTAAATAATGATTATTTCTTAAAAAGAATAAACTCTCATATGTGAAGGCATGAGTAGATGGGTAAACCTGTAAAGTCAATATCATCACATAGTATGTTTAAATATCATAGAATTAACAAGTAGTGCATATATAGAGATGTAGATAACATATGAAAATAGATATATATTCATATGTCTATATCTACATATTCTATATAAAACCTTTAAATACTTAGATATACATAATTTTATTTTTTTCCCAGTACGTTCTCTCCTTCAGCCACAGTAGATTTCACTCTTTGGGGCACACACCATACATTCCTGCCTCTAGGATTTTACTCACATTGTTTTCTGCTTAAATACCCTCTGTCCTTCTTGTTGTGTATCCAAATCTTACCCATCCTTTGAAACTCATCTCAAAATCTACCATATCCGTGAAAACTAAAACTATGCCAGCCAACAAGCTAATTCAATTCAGCTCTTTGTGCTCAATTATTTTTAATTGTTTTATTTTATTATACAGATGTAAGTCTTGTTTTCTCAGCACCCTCTTTTTACCACAAAAGAAATAAACAAGAATGAGTCATACTTTTTGGTATATTTGATAGTATCTAATACAATACTGATTAAATACTCTACAGCTGCTCACTAAAACTTGTTGCATTGAAAGAAATCATCTACCTGATTAGAAATGCCCCCAAGTGCTAGTAATTCTGGAAAGAATTTTTTTACAGGTTTCTCTCTTAAAGCCTCCAACAACAACAACAACAAATGGTTAACAAAGTCAGCAAAAGTACAGGCAGCCCTTCCTTAGGAATATCATGGTGATCCCTTGTACCTTCCTTACTAGGAAGAGTCAGTGTCATCACACAGTCTAATTGGAGCAACTAAACTGAACTCCTTATAGAGTTGGAGGCTGGTATTTGAATTCTACATAGACTTCTGAATAATGTCCATCAGATTCTCAGTGATTGACTCCTCTCAGGAAATGAAAGTCAAAAGCAGGTAAGTCGTTATTCACAATTATGTCTCATTTAAACAGTCAATGTGTTTAAGAAAATCATAAGATAAGGACCAAACTAGCCCTTTTGGAATCCATAATCCATTTGGGTTCAAATTTGGGAGGGGGGAGGGCTGAGGGAATTAAAATTCTCATCTATTGTTAAGTCAGGACTATTACTCAAGACCAAGGTGAAATTTCCTAACCATAAACTGTGTTGTGCTAGTTAGCAATATTTTCCATTACTAAATCACAGCTCTTTGGAGCTTCTTAATTTTAATGGAACTATTTGTGGGTGTGTTTCGACATAGCTTTTAGAGTTGGCTCAAAGCTATCTTTTTTGTTGCCTTGAGAAAGCCAAGATAGAAGTCGTCCCAAGGATACATGAGTGCCTTGGGCCAGAATAATGGTAGCAGTAATGGATAGAAGTTTTCTCCCTGTTACAATACTGACTTGAAATATAGCTGCACCTCATATATACTCATCTGCCTGATGAATGAGAGCTATCTCAAATGTTAATCTTTGATAATTAATTTAGTTGTTTATCTATAATCAAGGAAGGAATACAGGCTGTGCTGAAGAATATAAACATATACGGATACACAAAACATGATAATTTTCTAAAAAACTACAAAAATTGTTAGATTCATGAGCATGCATCAATGAAGTACGTTTAATCGGATCACTATTTGACTATAATAATTGCCAAACAGTCTAATTCCTTGTCTCTAATTATAGATGAGAAGCCCATGATGATAATAGCTCCAGTAAACTCAAGGCAAAGCAACAATGCTTAAGTGTGCAACCAGAGGCAAATTAGTGTCCATTTTCTGGGAAAATCTGTAGAAAGGAAGTAATTTCAAAAGGAAGTCATTTCTAAAGAGAAATTACAGACCTCACCTCACTACTGCCTTGGAAGTTCTTGACCTGGCTCCAATTTGGGGTGTTGTTTCATATTTGTGATCTATGAGTAGTAGGTGGACTTTTCTTGCTAGCCTCCACACTTTATAAACTTTCATATTCAAAGACAACACACTTAACCAACCATATTTACATCGTTCAGTGGTAGTGATTATAAGGCACAATCAATAGTTGCTGATTTCAGCTGAGCTATCTATATTCTCTTGCCTGGTTTCCCTTCAGCTTAAGAACAAACATTTGTGAGAATGCTTCTCAGGGGTAGGGATAGTTTGTAGTCAAGGAACAAATGACAATCCAGTAGAACAGTCTTGGCTTAATTAAATTTATTCCTACTAGGTAACTGGCTTAAATGTGTGCATGTTTCACCTATTTAGAAGGGTCGTTTAGAGATTATAAAGCGCTTAAAATGCCATGTTATGTAAAAGCAATTATATCTAAGTAACTAAACTCCTAAAAGGTCATGAAAATATTAAGTAATAAGATCTGCTGTATTAAGATCCAACTGGGTAGTAAGTTTTGAACTGCTGCATGGCAATGGAAAACCTCACTATTAGTAAAAGGTTATAACGTATAGATTATACATATATGTCCAGCAAAGATTATAAGGATGTGGTGACAGTTTTGGATGTATAAGATTACTACTTGATTTTGCTTTGATTTGGAACATTTAATATCTGTTAGACTGATTCAAACATAGTTAATCCAGTGGGCATTAATCCCTGACAAAATTAAATGCATTTCAGATACAATGTCATTTGGCTAATGAGGTAAAAATAAATAATTGGTCTCCTTATTTTATACCAGGAGTAGCAATTCTAACAAGAGAAAAAGTAAAAGAATTTTAGGTTCTGAAAATCCTCACTATTATTTTAATCTATGTAGATATTTTAATAAAGAAATGATGCTACCTAGTGCATATTAGATTATCTTTTATATTTTTTTCTTTTTCTTTAATTTTTAAATTTTGTCTGTATATAGTAGATGTACATATTTATGGGATGTTTGAGATATTTTCATACAGGCATGCAATATGTAATAATCACATCAGGGTAAATGGGGTATCAATCACCTTAAGTATTTATGCTTTCTCTGTGTTACAAACAATTCATAATGCTCTTTTAGTTATTTTTAAATGTACAATTAAATTATTGTTGATTATAGTTACACTGTTTTTCTATCAAATACTAGATCTTATTCTTTCTAATTCTTTTTTGTGCCCATTAACAATCCCTAATACTCTCTCACCCCCGCCCCACTAACCTTCTCAACCTCTGGTAACCATACTCTACTCTCTATCTCCATGAGTTCTAATGTTTTGTATTTTAGTTTCCACAAATAAGTGAAAACATGTAATATTTGTTTTTCTGTGCCTGGCTTATTTCACTTACTATAATGTCCTCCTTTTCCACCCATGTTATTGTAACTGACAGGATATCATTCTTTTTATGGCTGAATAGTACTTCATTGTGTATATGTACCAAATTTTCTTTATCCATTAGACTGTTGGATAAAGAAAATTTTTAGATTCCTTCCAAATGTTGGTTATTTCCTTTCTTTTATGTATATACCCAGCAGTGGAATTGCTGGATCATATGGTAGCTCTATTTTTAGTTTTTTGAGGAACCTCCAAACTGTTCTCCATAGTAGTTGCACTAATTTACATTCCCACCAACAGTGTACTATGGTTCCCTTTTCTCCATATACTCACCAGCATGTGTTATTGCCTGTCTTTTAGATAAAATCCATTTTAAGTAGGGTGAGATAATCTCTCACTGTAGTTTTGATTTGCATTTCTCTGATGATCAATGATGTTGAGCACATTTTTACACCTCCCGTTTGCCATTTGTACACCTTCTATTGAGAAATCTCTACTCAGATATTTGGCCCATTTTAAAAAATTAAATTATTAGATTTTTTTCCTATTGTTTGAGCTCCTCATATATTCTGGTTATTACCTCCTTGTCAGATGGGCAGTATGCAAATATTTTCTTTCACTCTGTGGGTTGTCTCTTCACAAGTTAAAAGCTGTACAGAAGATTTTAACTTGATGTAATCCCATTTGTTCATTTTTGCTTCGGTTGTTTGTGCTTCTGGGTTATTACTCAAGAAATCTTTGCCCAGTCCAATGTCCTGAATAGCTTCCTCAATGTTTTCTTGTAGTAGTTTCATAGTTTGAGGCATTAGATTTATGTCTTTAGTCCATTTTGATTTTATTCTTGTATATGGTGAGAGATAGAGGTTTAATTTCATCCTTTGCGTATGGATACCCAGTTTTCCCAGCACAGTTTGTGGAAGAGACTGTCCTTTTCCCAATGCGTGTTCATAGCACCTTGGTTGAAAATGAGTTCACTATAGATACATGAATTTGTTTCTGGGTTCTCTATTCTATTCCATTCATCTATGTGTTTGTTTTATGCCATTACCAGGCTATTTTACCAGGTTACTGTAGCTCTGCAGTATAATTTGAAGTCAGTTGAGTTCTGCCCAATTTTGACAGCACTGATTTCCAATGCAAAGTCCCACACTCACCTTGCTCTCCCTCCCTCAAGCACACAGATTCTCTCTCCCTGCCACACAGCCTCTGTCAGGTTATGAGGGATGGGTGGCATCAGCAATTCAAGACTGTTTTTCCTATCCTCATCAGTGCCTCTTTCAGTGATACGAAGTTACATTCAGGTACTGTGATCACTCACCTAATTTTTGGTTCTTATGAAGAAGCTTTTTTTTGTATGTAGCTAGTTGTTAATTTTGGTGTTCCTGCAGGGAGGACAATCGGTGGAAGCTTCTCTTTGGTGGAAGCTTCTCTTTGTCCATCTCGCCCCACCTCCTGGTTCATATTAGATTTTCAACACATGTTGTCACTGAATTGAATGTACTGTACAATAGTCACAATTCTAAAATGAAGACTTCTTTATAACAGTTCTGTACTTGAAATAAAGAACTAATTTAACTTTCTGTGTGAAAAAACATAGATAGCAAAGTGTTGCAATGAAAAAAGAATTGAATTTGAGAACAAATGTGGAGCTTCCATTTCCCATTTGTGAGTTAAGTAAATTGCTTAACTTCTCTGTGCCTGTATTTCTCAACTGTATTATGTAGGCAATTTAGTACTTATTTTATAAAATTGCAGAAGGCATCAAATAAAATTAAATGGGGGGGAAGTGCTCAGTAAATTGTTAAACAATTGTGCAAATAATTTTCTTTAATTTAAGGCATATGTACAGTTTGCTACTGAAATGACAGAATAAATGAAAGACAATTGCCTCATTTTCTATAAGACTCTCAGCTGCCTGGGAGTACAGATACTGTTGTTTTTTAAGTTCTAGTGCCCAGCATGGTGCCTGAATATAATAAGTCCTAAGTAAACATTTGTTGGATAAAAATATTTTTATCACCATAAAAATAATAATAATGCTGATTCTGCATCAACTCATCTTGTTCATCAAAAGAAATATTAAGGACATCCCTTTTAATAGCCTAATCTTTCAAGGTAAGTAAGTAGTGAGAAAGTTGATTATAACAAAGGATAAAATTGCAGCTACATATTAAGCAGAACAGAGGGAAAAGCACTGGTTGTAAGAGGTGCTTTAACAAATCACACTGAAATGGATTTAGTGAAACTTATTCAAAGCTATTCTCACTTCCTTTTGGTGTGTGAGTGTGTGTTTCCAGTTTGACATTCTTCTTTTCCAAACCAATTAAAAACAATGTAGGTGGTTTGAGTTGTAATTTTATAATGAGTATAAGTAACTGAATAATAACATTTGTAACAGCGTAAATTATTCTTTCTCATGGGAAAATAAAATGTATGATCTTTTCTTGTACTACAAAGTGAGTATCAAGAATTTGCAAACCTTTTTCTCATAAACAATGGGAATTCTGCAACAAGGGCCTAACGAGAGCTACAGATCAAATGCTAAGAGTTCCAAGAAGAAAACTTAACTTTCAGCTGTATGAGAGAGGTTGTATGAAGAAAGAATCATCAAACTATGACAACTAATTAGGTGTGGAGTGGCAAAGCAGACAGAGCAGTTAAAAAAATGATGTTAAATATTAAGACTAGTAAATAAAGCACTGGATATATCATTGATAGATGAGAGAAAGTGAAAAGCGGATATGATTCGTTTGAGATGACTGTGGGACAGTCAAGTAGAGATGTCAAGTAGGCAATTAAAAATGATGCATTGGAGCTGAGAAAGTTTTGGGTATTGTCCATACAAAAGTAGTAGCAAAAGTCAAGATTTTATATCATGTTGTCAAGGGATAGAGGGTAGAGAAAAAGAAGGGGGGCTGTTCTCATGCTGCTGATAAAGACATACTTGAGAATGGACAATTTATAAAAGGAAGAGGTTTAATGGACTTACAGTTCCACATGGCTTGGGAGGCCTCACAATCATGGTGGGAGATAGGGAAGACCAAGCCATGTCTTACATGGATGGCAGCAGGCAAAAAGAGAGAGCTTGTGCGGGGAAACTCCCTCTTATAAAACCACCAGATCTCATGAGACTTACTCACTATCACAAGAATAGCATGGGAAAGACCTGTCCCCATGATACAGTTACCTCCCACTGGGTCCCTCCCACAACACATGATCATTCAAGATGAGATTTTGGTGGGTACACAGCCAAACTATATCAGGGGCCAAGAATGGGTCCTTGGAGAAGAGGTCCAGATGAAAGAAGGAAGAAGTGCCTGAGAAGAAGTCATAGAAGCTGCAGTATAGTATAATGGAAAGAAAGATATCAAGAATAGAATAGATTAGCAGTGCTAAATGCAGTAGAACTGAAACAAAATGAGGGTCAAGAAAAGTAAGTGGGATTCAACAACTTGGAGGTCAATAAAAGCAGTTTCAGGAACATAGTGAAGCTAGAATCTGGTTTGCAGTGTTGAGGAATGTGTGAGTAGTGAGAATATAGCATCTGAGAGTATGTCTCCCTCCTTTGGAAATTTTTCAGATGAAGGGAACAAAAGAGATGAGATTATAAGTCAATAGAATGGTAGGGTCACAAAGGGAGTCACCCTGATCACAAAGTTAGAGTCTTAATTCTTGAAGATCAAAAGAATCAGAAGTTTGCTGAAGGTATAGAAAAAATTTTCAGTAAAGTGGAGCATTGAAGGAATTTATGTGGTGAACCAAAATCGTGGTCCCTGGGCCAGTAAAGTAGCATTGGGATAACCAGGGAACTTGAAAATGCAGATTATCAGGCCCCAGCAATCTCTCCTTAAATAATTCTTCCAATTGATTCTGGTGCCCACTAAAGTTTGAGTTCCACCATCCATTGTTAGTAGAAGGCAAGGCTACCTGCAGAGAGGGAGACATCAGCAGTGAGACTTGGAGTATGAGCAGGGTGGGATAGATAAGAATTAGACATTGAAGACTGGTAATGAGTTGATTAGAATCAATTAAAAAGGCTGTTTAACAATGGTGGGAGTCCAGAAAGACCGAGACAATCTGTACTAGACTAAATTGGTTTAGTCTGAAGACTCTCTAGTATACAAAGAAGTCAAAATCTAGGGGCACAGAAGGTGGATGGCAGTCTACACAAAGCAAAGGATCAGCAAAGTGATGCCAGTAAAAGGAGAAGGGCTTCTAGCAAGATCATTGCTGAACTGGCTGACAATGGAAACCAGTGTGGCTTAGAATTGAGGGATGGAGAGTTTGGTGAAGGTGACATTAAACAGAAATGAGAGAGTAAGAGATAAAACAAGAATGTGATGGCAAGAGAAAGAGACATTCAGAATCCCAGGTTAAACAGTTTCAAGTGAAGATATAAATTCAAGGACTGGCTGAAAGCTATGTGAACTGAAGATGTAGAAATGAAGAAATTGAGAGTGAGGAAGAACCATGAAGACAGTGTGGGAAAGGGTACTGATGTGGTTGGTGAAGTTCTTATAGATGATTCTAGATTCAGTAGGAAGTGGAGAGAAGATTGTAAGTTGGCTGATGAAACTGTTGAAGGACAGAGAGAGTGACCAAAATGTCAGTAGAGAGTGATAATTCAAACCAAGGCAGGTGGTGTATAAGGATTACAGAGTTTCAAGGAGAGTAGAAAGCTGATAAGGGATAATTGATCAATAGGAACCAGAACATTTGTGTATTGAGAAAAGAATTAACAATAGATACACAAAAACCAAGCAAATGAAAAAAATTAGAGAATTATTAACACCAGCAAAAAGTTGTGCGAATAAAAGAAGCAAAATAATACACAATTTGGTTCAGCAGTAAATGATATTTTATAGCAATAATAATATAAACACTGAACACTGATTTACCAAAAATAAATGGAGATTTAACTATATTGGGATGATGGAAGGGATGAAAACAGTTAGATGAGAGATGAATAGAATTAAACCTGTGTGTCAGAATTATCAACAGATAATATGTAACACTGATAAATCAAGACATAGCAGCATAAGTATACCCATACTATAAGTTTATGCATACTGAAAATACATGCATGCCATTTAGCTTTATATATAGCTATTTAGCTAAATGCAAGTAAATATCACAAGACGAAGCTAACAATTGAAAATGATTGCCTCTGGGGATCAGCTCTGGGTGGTGAAGAGGGTAGGGACAGGGAATTGCTGTTTGTTATATGCCTTTTACTACTATTTGGCCTTTTAAACTATATACATATATTACTTTAACTAAAAAAACTAATTTATAAAAAAGCAAATAAGTAACAATGTGTTAAAAATAAAGTTGAGTTTGCCATAAAACAATAGTTCTAAAAGGTTTCATAGTAAGAGGTTGCAGAGGTTGCAGAAGACAGATAAGGTAGTGTTGGGAAAAGATAGGCCCCAAATGGACACTAATTAAATTTGTGGGAGCAACAGCAGGGGATACAAGTTTACATAAAAGGCACTCATTTTCAATAATGGGATTGAAGAGGGCAATAAACATGGAGAGGAAGTTGAGCCACCTGTTAATGAGCGAGGGGATAGACAGAACTGCTGAGTTCATTGAACTAACCAGCCCTGAAATTCTATCATTGGTGAATGACATGTTAAATAAACATTATAGTGAGCTTCACAGAGACCTGCCAGAAAAAGCACCTGACACTAAGATCTGATGTTTTCTGTCAATTCATTGAAGGCATCACATCACAAATTGGAGTATTTTTCATTGGCAATAGCACTATCCAGGTGATCAGGACTGTTCCCTTTACATCTTCCCATGACTACAAAAGACTTCCCTGAATCCTTAAGCCAAGTGGAAGAGAGTTGCACACACACTATATACACTTATTTGAATATTTCTTACAAATGCCACCTATATGACAACTTGTAAAATGACTTCAGCTGAGCTGTTCCCTGTCATCAACAGGTGTAAAATTATCTGTTCCTTGCTAATGACAGGAAAATGATCACAGCAAGTTATCCTTAATTTCTTCAGGGAAGTATATGTAACTTGTAATATTTTGAATTTGAAATCAAAAGGGTGATATTAGTAGGGAGGACCATGGAAAATGCACATAAATTAATTTTATAAAAATATTTTAAAGTCACAGTTTTAGATATCTGATTTTGAAAAATATTTTTAATGCCTTTCACTTTGGGGAAAGTACTTTAAAGGTGATCTAGTTTCATCTAAAAATAGTCTTACAATGAAACTAATTTCTTATATTGGTGATTTGAAACATTTGCGACCCAGAGTTGGGGCAAGAAGATCAATAATCAAACATTAATTTCAGCATCTGCTATGTACTTGACACTAAGATAGGTGCTTTACATATTTTATCTCATTTAATCCTCTTGTAGGATATATTGTACATTAAAGTATGATTCTTCCCCTTTTAGAGATGTAGAAACTGAGGTTCCGTCCAGCTAAGTCTATTGCTGAAGGTCATGCAGCTCAGCAGGATCAGGTTTTATAAATTCAGATAATTAAATTGAATGCCTGTGTTCTATTCCTCTTTACCACGCTCCTTCCAAATTACAGTTTAACTCTAAACACAAACCATGAAAATGGGTCCTACTTTAGTTTTAAAAGAGCCTAATCTATGTCTGCGCATCACTCTTTAAAGATACTCTTCTACCCACATATCACTACAGGGGACATGTAAACACCAAGGTGCCTAGGTGGGAGAACTCCCTCCTTTGTCCATGGGATCTGCACAAGCAGGTTACCCTGTCATCACTCTGAGCAGGAATGGACCCAATCCAAAGTAATCTATACAAGTGAAATTACTAACTCTAAGCTTCCTGTAGAGTGGTGCTTCCAAGGGCCTATTCTATTTTCAGCAGCACTTCAACTTTATCCTTATAAAATATTGAAAAAGCTGGGGGTGGGGGGCTGGGGAGGGATAGCATTGAGAGAAATACCTAATGTAGATGACAGGTTGATGGGTGCAGCAAACCATCATGGCACGTGTATACCTATATAAGCAAACCTGCACGTTCTGTACATGTATCCGAGAACTTAAAGTATAATAAAAAAAGAGATTATCTAAAATGGAAAAAAAGCGGAATTTAATAAAATTAAAGAAAAAAATCCTCCAGCCTTTACAGAAGCTACATAGAAATCTCAAACTACAGTATGAATAATAAAAAAGTGATACATTAGTTACCCAACTTTGCCCCTTTACTGAGTAGACAACATGTAATCTAGTCAAATGTATTATTAGATGTACTAAGCTGGGGAAAGAATATTATAACATTACTGTTGCCACTGGACAAAACTCTTAATCCTGTCATACAGTTCCCATCTCTGATCATTGTCCCTTCTACCATTTCTATTGTCATTATTCTACTTTGTTTTACACCTAGACTATTGAAATAGCTTCTAATAATCTTTCATTTGCAAAGTTTTCTCCATTGATTTTTTCAAGTTGTAGACTTTGTAGTTTATAAAAAATTTCCAGCACATATTTTTATTTAGTATTTTATGGATGAGGATGTTGCTGAGAGATTTTGTATTACTAAGAACACATAGCTTGAGAGGAACAGAGTTAAGACAAGAACCCAGGTCCCCATACACTGAAACTAGTCTGCTTTCTATCACCAATACCTTCCCTGTGGCAGACTCTTCTTAACCAAGTGCTTTCTTTATGTTTATACTATTGCTCAAGGACTCTCCACATAAGTGACCCAAATTCAAGGAGGAACTATCAATGGGCTCTGGAGTCAGCCTACATATGTATAAATCTTGGCTTTACTGCATGCTGGCTGTATAAGCCTTTGCAAATAATTTAAACTCTTTGAAACTCGGTTACCTTATATGAGCAATAAGGACAACAATAGCACCTTCCTAATCTGATCATTGTAAGAAGAAAATTAATCAATATGCTAGCCATATCTATTAGTATTTTCCTACTCAGCAACCTTCACTCACCCTCCATTGCCTACTAAAGAAAGCCCAAAGTTTTTAAATTAACACTTGAGAATCTCATGACCTGGCCTTAATGTATCATATTAACACTACACCATAATACTCCTTGTCACATGTCTTTCATGCCATACAAATCAAACCCCTAACTTTTTCTGAAACCCAGAATTTACTTTCCCAAATCTATAACTTTGTTTATGTGATTCTCTCTTCCTAGGATATTATTTCCATGCAATATCACAATACCATATATAGAAATTCTGCCCATTTTTCAAAGCCCAGGTTAATTAATTCCTCAACATAGCCTTCCTTGATCTCTCAGCCAAAATTAATTTCTTCAGTCTTTTGTTCCCAAAGTGTGTTGTTTTTTCCTCTTTTATGACTGAAAACACTTTGGTTTGTATTATGCTTTTTTATGTGCCTGCCACTTTCCCCTATTAGAAGAAACTAAGGCAAAGCAAAGTTAAGCATTAGGTTGAACTGTATAAAATTGTTGCTATTATACCAGTTTCAACCTACAAAAATGACAATTTCAAATGATCTAATCTAATAAAATGGCTCTTTTATGGTTATATCTAATACACTTAAGGTAAATATTCAATACCTTCTGGATTGTATTCTATGAGTTATTCTAGAGGCCAATGTTTCTGTGCAGATATACAGAAGAAAGACAATTTTAGGCTTTTCTTTAAAATTAGAAAATTTAAAAAAATGTAGAGATAAGGGTCTCACTATGTTGCTCAGGCTTGTCTTGAACTGCTGGCTTCAAGAGATCCTCCAGCCTTGGCCTACCAAAGTGCTGGAAATGCAGATGTGAGTCACCGAACCTGGCTCTAGGCTTTTCTTAGATTGAAAAAACATGGATTTTAAATCTTTTGTTGTTCTTTTTGATTAATGTGGCCAAAATGTATATTTCAAAATTTCAGTTCTTAGAAATAATCTCATGTATACTTAATATAAAATAATCAAATTCTTATGTGGGCTGGCTCCTTCTTTATTTTTTTCTTGTTTTCTTTTGTCTTTTAGTAAGAGGTGCCTATGAAAGAGGTCAATTGGAGATCTAGAAAAATACAAGTGATGGTTGATTCCCCATTGTTCCAGTTATTAATATTAGTTTTACCAACATACAAGAAAATCTTTTTTCCTTCAACACTTGTATAGCAGATGTTTATAAGATTCCAAAATTTTCATAACATAAATTAATTACCAAGAATTGTATTACATGAGATTTCTCCTTAGCAACTAAGTTCTAGTTTCTATTTTGTCAATGTGATACATAATAAAATCTATACATATTTTGACTTGATTCTCAAGACAAATAATATATTCTCAAAGAAGACATACAGAAAATATGTATATATTCTCAAAGAAGACATACAGGAAGTAAATACCAGTTTGTGAAATGTGACCATTAAAATCATCTTAGATAATATAACTTCCAATTTATTGTTCATTTAAATACCATACCTCGTGAAAATATTTAACATTGCACAACTGTTGGGCCCATTTTAGAACTGAAGATCAGCTACAAATTAGGTATTCATTAACCAGTTCATAACTAACCTCATAGATTTAATGTCTTAATCGACCTAAATTGTTTTGTCTTCTGAGAGAAGATGGGAAGATTTGTTCTAAAAATGCTGACAAGGCACAAATACCAGTGATATAACTTCTCAGTATTTTGATGAAAATTTAATGGGAGCACCTGCATAGTGGTATGAGAAGAGTTCAAGAACATTATTTCAGTTTGTTAAGGAATCAGCTGATTGATCTTACCTGCTCACAAATCTGGCTTGATCCACTATGGCACAGTTCATTTCCAATATGTGTAGAAATTGGATTATTTCCTGTGATGGCTTGGATTTGCTGGCTAGAATCAGGTTGTTGCCAGTGTGCAGAGTGGATGACCTGGGGCTGTTGGATAATGTGATGATGGCATTGAGCCTGAGGATGGCACCCCTAAGACACATACACATGCCAAAAACAGCCACTTAGGATAAACATTACTAATCAAGAAAAACAACTGAAACCATTTTTTTAAACTTAATGTTTTCTTTCACTATAATTCAAACCCTAGGATTTATAGATTTAACTAGTGATATTTTTTCAATTTTTTTCATTGGGAAAATTTGTATTGAATTCTGTTTTTATTTGATCAGGTTGTCGTGACCATCCGAATACTTATGTAGATTGGCCAAGGCATTGCATGTTCTAATTAAATTAATATTCCAGCTATACTTAACACTAAAACCATAATGAATATTAATATTAATATTACTTTGATGATTCAGTAGGCACTTCAGAATCTAATTACATAAAACACTATAATACCGAAGATATAGGTAAATTTAAAATTAAAAAATAATATAGTGATTTTCAATGTCAGGAAGCATATTAGAATCACAGTGGGTGAGGAGCAAAGTTCTTATCCTTATGAAACTTAAGGATAAATTTCTTAAAAAGATTAAAAAAACCAGCGACTGAAACTTTAGACCTAGAAAACATGGATTCTAACTCTGATTTTATCACTAACTCTGATCTTGAGAAACTGTATATGCAACCTTTATGAGCCTCCATTTTTCCCATTTATAAAAGTGAAGATGGTACATATTCCATAGGGGTGCTATGAGGAGTAAATAAGCTAATGTCTATAAGTTGATTACTACAAAGTAGGTGAGTAACAAACATTATTATTATGATCACATCATCATCATTGTCATAGTCATCATCAACTTTATCATCATTTACCCTACTAATTTTGCAGATGAAAGAAAAAAACTCTGAGGTCTAGAAAAGTAAGATAATTTGCTCATAGTAATGCAGCTAATTAATGACAAACTTGGGACTGGAACCCATGATTTCCAGCTTAGACTTCTTTTAGGATATTAGGCTGAATTTGCACTGACTTCAAGATATTCTGGAATTTGTTGTTTTTAAACTAAATCTTTGTTATTTGCTTATTTGTCATGGCTTTTTTCTGGTAAGTATAGAGCACAGACTAAGAAAAGATATCCAGTTATTTTAGTTTGGGGGATTTCAGGCATACTTGAATTTGCTTTCTTATCTTGTGATTATTCTACTTCGATAAGAGACATCTGGAAGCCTGTTTTCAAAAGAAACATACTGTATTTTGAATCACAGTGCTACATGTATGCACATACAATTAATTTTGAAAGTAAAAATGCAATGCACTATATCCTTTTGACTATGGAAAGTTGGCCTATATTAATACAGTAAAACACTTCATATTTTACATTTTTATATGAAACAATTTTCAAGCTGTATTAAATGAAAAAAGTACAAAAGAATGAAATAGTATACTCTTTCTGCTGTAACATGTTTTAAAAGTGACGTATACATTTACAAACATATATAACTGCTTTGATATGCATAGACCAAAATAGTTTTAAGAGTAGCTGCTTCTGGGAAGAGAAACTGGGGACAAAAGTGTCTGGATAAGGAGGTTTATTTGTCACTGTATACCTTTTAATGCTCTTTTTATTCCTTTCAATGTTTTTTATACTTTAAAATTTTTCCATGTATAAAAATTACCTTTTCATGTATACAAAAATATTTTGAAAAATGAAATATATATAAATAAACACATTTTACAAATAGAAGTTGCCTTGGTAGATATAGAGATAATAAAGGTCATAGAATAAGTTCCTGCTATCATTTTCTCTAGACTCTTTTCAAATAGCACACTTTGTACATACACTAGCACTAAAATCTTTACAGTTTAGGAATTTTGGGGGTGAATGTATGTTACATTACTATTATCTTTTATGTTACAAAATATCTTCATATACTGGAATGAGGTAAAATTACACTGATAGTCTGAGATGACTATCACTCATTGGAGAGCTTGTAGGCTATTGAAATAGAAGCTCTCCTGAAGGAATAAAACAAAACAAAACAGTATGTTCCTCACAAAGCAAGTTAGGAAACTCTTGGAAAGCACACATCACTAGAGGGCAATAAAGAAATCAAAAACTGTTTCTTAAAAATCTCCCTTTGTTAATGTATCAGTTGTCTCTTGAATAGAACACTGACATTCCCATAATCTGGGGTGCCTTGCAGTCTACCTGAGCCCATTTGGCCTGTCAACAATTTACTGGTACCACTGAGGTCTTAGCAGGTTTTCAGTTTTCAATTCTTACACTAAAGTTCTTTTTCTAAAGCAAAATGTTCATATATTCATCATATTTTTAAAATATATAGTAAGCTGAATTTTTAAAGTACAGACAGATCAAACATTTCTGATTTGTCATATTGTTTTTCCTTTTTGATAGAGTAAAAAGAATTATGATGAGTACAAATCATATGAATTGGATAGTTATCTTGCACCTGGCACCACTTTACCACCCTTCCAACACAAAGATCTCTTTTTTCTTGAACATTTCTCATCTCCTAAGAGCTAGTCCTATTTGATTCGGTCACATGTTACGGTAAACAGGTTCATCCAGACTCTGGCTTTACTCAGATTGTCCTAGTTTATCTCCACCAATGAGGAAACTAGTAGGACAATGCAATTGCAGTTTGCTCTATCTGCATGGTTCCTTTTACACTGGGCAGCTTTCGTGGTGGTTCCCAAACTCCGAAACTGTTTAAGTAATTAATAAGATAAAGTGGGCATAAACAAGTAAATATTCGAGTTAACAGTAAATAGCAGCAGTATTCTCTTAAAGGAGCTAGTCTTTAGTTGTTCCAGCTGCACAGCAACAATGTACAAGATATTCAATCTTTTACTCCAGAGTCCAAGAATTAGAAACACTATTTGTTCTCTTTAAAACAAGAAGCTAGAAGCAGCATGAAATGATTTGCCTCTAACATTCCTTACTATTTAAAACGTGTCAAACTTATTTTTTGTAGCCCAGTTGGATAAAGGACAGATGTTATAATTTGATTTCTTATAAAGGAAAACACTCCTTGAGGAATAGGTACATTTCATGAAATTTTTTCTGCTTGGTATCATAATGTCCAGAAATATTCTGCTGCTCCTCTGTAAGATGAGTATTCAATACATACCATAGCAAACCCTTCAGACTATATCCCAGCTTTCCAAGCAAACCAAAATGTTAAAGATTTGCATGTTTATGATTCTGAAAGTTTGCTTCATTTTAACTGGACACAAATAAGTAATAATGCATTAGTTCCTATGAATCTGGTAACAAATGTCCACAAGTGCTCATAAAAAATAAAATGAGTTCTTATGCCAAAAAGTTCAAAAAGGAAAAGCTAGAATTTTTTAGTCCGTTTGATTTGCATATGAAAAAAATGATTTTGTCATCGCAACTGATTTGATAGTGTTTAACTGCCTATTATGGGTCGAATTGTACCCTCTCATACCCAAGATATGGTGAAGTCCTAACCCCAGTAACTCAGAATGTGACCCTATTTAGAGACAGAGTCTTTATAGAGATAATCAAGTCATTAGGATGGCCCTAATAAAATATGACTGGTGTCCTTATAAAAATGCAAAATTGGACACAGAAACAAACATGCACAGAGGGAAGATGATGTGAAGACACACAGGAAAGTTTCCATATGAAGATAAATTATTGGAGTGATGCATCTACAAGCCAAGGAATGTCTGAGGCTACCAAAAGCAAGGAGACAGGAATGAAAGAGTTCCTTCTCTGGCAGCTTCAGAGAGAACATAGCCCTGCCAACATAGTAATTTCAGACTTCTGGCCTCCAGAACTGTGAGACAATAAATTTCTGTTGTTTTAAACCATACAGTCTGTGGCACTTTGTTGCAGCAGCCCTAAGAAACTAATACAGTGCCCTAGTTCAAGAATGTCCAACAGACAAGTCCTGGACATTGGGCTGGACATGCTTATATGAACTGAGAAGAGCAATATGAAACCTCTGTTGGTTATAGTAACAACTCTGCATGAAGGACTTGCGGCTCTAGATGCCATGGAATTACTGTGGCCTTGCTGCAGTTTTTTTTATTATTATTATACTTTAAGTTTTAGGGTACATGTGCACAATGTGCAAGTTAGTTACATATGTATACATGTGCCATGCTGGTGTGCTGCACCCACTAACTCGTCATTTAGCATTAAGTATATCTCCTAAAGCTATCCCTCCCCCGTCCCCCCACCCCACAACAGTCCCCAGAGTGTGATGTTCCCCTTCTTGTGTCCATGTGTTCTCATTGCTCAATTCCCACCTATGAGTGAGAATATGCGGTGTTTGGTTTTTTGTTCTTGCGATAGTTTACTGAGAATGATGATTTCCAATTTCATCCATGTCCCTACAAAGGACATGAACTCATCATTTTTATGGCTGCATAGTATTCCACGGTGTATATGTGCCACATTTTCTTAATCCAGTCTATCATTGTTGGACATTTGGGTTGGTTCCAAGTCTTTGCTATTGTGAATAGTGCTGCAATAAACATACGTGTGCATGTGTCTTTATAGCAGCATGATTTATAGTCCTTTGGGTATATACCCAGTAATGGGATGGCTGGGTCAAATGGTATTTCTAGTTCTAGATCCCTGAGGAATCACCACATTGACTTCCACAATGGTTGAACTAGTTTACAGTCCCACCAACAGTGTAAAAGTGTTCCTATTTCTCCACATCCTGAACAGACACTTCTCAAAAGAAGACATTTATGCAGCCAAAAACACATGAAAAAATGCTCACCATCACTGGCCATCAGAGAAATGCAAATCAAAACCACAATGAGGTACCATCTCACACCAGTTAGAATGGCAATGATTAAAAAGTCAGGAAACAACAGGTGCTGCAGTTTTATACTTGGTCTGTCGATTTGAGCTTAACAGAATTTTTTAAATGTACTAGAAGCTTTAGTTTTCTAGATCTTTTACAGTATATGGTATTTCACATATCTGTTCGTATGTATTGTACATTTAAAATTCGTTCTATATTAAAAGAATTAGAACAAAATTATAATGTTTTAAATTATGATTTTTGTTGGACCAGTTTAAAGGAAAACATACAAGGCATTAGGATATCTTTATTAAGTTCAGATTCTGCCATTAATTTTCTATGTGACTTCACATATCCTGGTTTCAATTTTCTTTCAGTAAAATGAGGACAATAATACTTCACATGAAAAATGGGTATGAAAGTATTAAGGATGGTATGAAGGGCTGTAGATATCATAGCATATTATAACTCATGGTGGTCTTGCCTTGCACTTCAGAGTTGAATGTCACTTGAGCTCTATTAAAATACAATTCAAAATTATACACTTAAAAACAAGTTTTAAAACAAAATATTACTTACCTGATCAGTATTTAGCTTCTCCACTTTTCTTATTGTTTTTTCATAAATAACATTGTTTCCTGGGAAGAAATGGCTTCCTCTTAGGAATTGAGACAGTGGTTCCTAAAATGATAGTAAATTATATGTTTTGTTTTGAAAGTTGTCTTTTCAGAGTAACCTTAAATTAGGCAAATATCCAGTGTCGAATAGGCTCTGAAGTACTGGCTGACCTTAGGAAGAGAGAGGAATGACATCCCAATAATGTTGGTAGATGCAAGGAAATAATAATAAAGGTAGTTCCCTTTATCAAAAAGAACAATCTGGATTTCTCCTATTACATTTTACTAAGCCTAATAACGTCTTTTGTGGAGATTGGTGGAGAGTGGGAAAGATAATTTTCTCTCTGTTCCTAAAGCAAGATATGATGAGTTTCCTTTGAGGTAGGCAAGCATGAGGTCAATCTCATTTAAACTGGGTTCACTGGAAGATTTCTTTCTATGCAAAAATATTGTTGGAGAAATGCAAAATAAAAATATTTCAGCACGACTAGGCCACAAAGTAGGTAGAACTATATTAAAGATTTTTTTTTTCTGCAACTCAATTTGAGTGCCCTTGAATTGTACAATTCTTAATTGTAATTATAATCAAGGCTAAGACTCTCAGAACAACATACGTTTTGAATATTAAGAGCAGAGTAGAGGCTTTAAGAGCCACTTTATCTCCACATATTCAACTAAATTGCTGTAAGATTAGCTGAGTGCCTAGAAGATGTCAGCCAATGAAATATAGGCTGGTGACATGTCCAAAATCTGAAAGAAACTGGGGACGAGCTAATAAGAATCAGACCAGGAGTCTAAAATAAATGTCATGTGTACCATGTTCTTTTCCCTTCCTTTGGTTTTCATTTGAAGTCTACTTGGGTAGGGAGATCTGGAGTTGTTTTGTTTGTTGTTTTTCTACAAAACAAAATTTGCATTCATTTATTTTGTGATATAGGGGAATACTATAGAAGACCATATAGGCAAGTCTGTTACTGGTTAATGTATTTAAGAACATTTCACAATCAACAAAATGTACTAGGATTTTTGTAGTCTGCTATTATAAATACCCATAGAGCAGCTGGACCAAAACACTGATTGTTTAAAAGGCAAGATGCTCTTGAATCAAAAGTTATATACTTATTGTATTCAAGTTTGAGCAAAAGGTGTTTCAACCAAATGTTCCTTGGGGACTTTGGTAAAACAAATATATAAGTGACCAAATCTGACTAGGTGATGAAGTATTAAATCTAAAGCTGGATATATTTAGAAAGACTTCCCTAGAAGATATTTTGTGTTTGTTTGTTTGTTTTTGCAAAAGAGCCCCTATGGTAGTTATGTGCAATCATGGAACACATGCTTAAGTGCTTGCTATGCACAGTGTACTTTGCTACATGCTTTGAGGCATAAAAATATAAGTCTGACTTATTTTATTACCAGGAGCATTTAATATTGATCAAGATTCATCAAACTATGGTAGATAGCCTGTTTTTATTCTGTCCTCAAGCTAAAAATGGTAGTTAGATTTTAAAGGACTATAAATAAAAAACAAAGGCCAAGAACCTATGTGGCCAGCAAAACCTAAAATATTTGTTATCTGTTTCTTTACAGAAAAATTATGCCAATCCCTGATCTAGATAATATATGAACATAAACATATATGCAAAGTAGAAAGAGACAAATGCCTTTACACGTACAGAGAAAGAACTTATGGGATGGAGTTCAGAGGAAAAAAACTGAGTTCCATCTGGCTGTGCTCTAGTAGAGTACCTGGATTAGGTGGCATTTGAAAGAAAGTTAAAGTGGTCTTTGGATATGAGAAAATTGAAGAAAATGGTATTCCAAGTGAAGGAAACAAGACAATTAAAGTCACCAAGTTTGGAAAAGTGTAAGTTATATGTATGGGACATACTTAGCAGATAGAGCTTGGTTCTTCAAGCAGTGAGAAGTCCTTACATGCTTTTAAACAGGGGTATGAGGTGAAGTTTACTTCAGGGAGATTAATTACAAGAAGAGTACAGATGAGGAGACTGGTAAGATTATCCCAATAATCAAAAACAGTACTGTTCAAAGATGACTCTGAGATCTTGAACCTGAGGAGTCTACTACACGGTACCAAAAATGAAAATGTTGAGACATTTTACGTGCTCCTAATAACAATCTAGGTCTGATTATGTTTTTATTCCCCAGAACACTCAGCAAACTACACAGTGCATAGTAATCCCTTTAACATGTCACAAATGATTGCAAATAGCTCCCAAAGAGACTCTTTTACAAAAAAATGTCTGGGTAGACACTCAGATGTAGACGTTCAATGCATAGGTGAAAACACAGGTCTGGAACTAAGTGGTGAGTGCAAGGCTACAGATCTATTACATATATCAAGACCACCTGCTCACTAGTGCTAGGTTAAACTAGCAATTGCTGAGTAGTCAAATGAAGAGCAAATACAGAACTAGACATGTCTCAAGAGGTCTTAGAAGAGAAAATATTGTAATTTAAAGGAAGAGTAATTTTCAAGAAGCAGTAGGAAGTCAAAGGTAAAAATGTTTCAGAGTGCCCAACAGATGAGAATTATAAAGTGGATTGGATTTGGATTACTACAAATCCATTGGGTTTGACTACTAAAATCAGTGGAAGAAAGTATAATGGGAAAAAAATTATGCAGTCATAAAACCTATATTTCAGTTCTTCCTTCTCCTATGTGCTGCAGAAAAGCAGGTAGGCCATTAACCTTATTGGAGGCTCAGTTTTCTTAGCATAGGGAGGGTAATGCAGAATATCAGGTAAGATCATGTGTTTTAAAGTACCCTTAATCTATAATTTTAATGTAAAAATGACACTTGTTTTAAATAATATTGTAATATAATATTTAAAATCCATACTGTGTTTTAAATAATATTGATAATTCCCTTATAACTTTTGTAGAATATCAAGTATAAAAATACACACAAGTAGGCTTACTGAGGGCAGGGACTTTGACGATCTTGAGTACCACATAGTGAAGGAACTGATGATTGAGTGAGAAGGAATGATATGAACCTTCATCTTAGGAATGTAATCATCCTCTAAGAGAGGGAAAACAAATTTAGCAAAAGCATGAAATTTTTTTTCTGTGAAATGAAGTTCACTATAAATGATGAACGGTCATTCCCTGTTTGCAGATGACATGATTGTATATCTAGAAAACCCCATCATCTCAGCCCAAAATCTCCTTAAGCTGATAAGCAACTTCGGCAAAGTCTCAGGATACAAAATCAATGTACAAAAATCACAAGCATTCTTATACAGCAATAACAGACAAACAGAGAGCCAAATCATGAGTGAACTCCCATTCACAATTGCTTCAAAGAGAATAAAATACCTAGGAATCCAACTTACAAGGGACGTGAAGGACCTCTTCAAGGAGAACTACAAACCACTGCTCAACGAAATAAAAGAGGACACAAACAAATGGAAGAACAGTCCATGATCATGGATAGGAACAATCAATAACGTGAAAATGGCCATACTGCCCAAGGTAGTTTATAGATTCAATGCCATCCCCATCAAGCTACCAATGACTTTCTTCACGGAATTGGAAAAAGCTACTTTAAGGTTCATATGGAACCAAAAAAGAGCCCACATTGCCAAGAGAATCCTAAGCCAAAAGAACAAAGCTGGAGGCATCACACTACCTGACTTCAAACTATACTACAAGGCTACAGTAACCAAAACAGCATGGTACTGGTACCAAAACAGAGAGATAGACCAATGGAACAGAACAGAGCCCTCAGAAATAATACCACACATCTACAATCACCTGATCTTTGACAAACCTGACAAAAACAAGCAATGGGGAAAGGATTCCCTACTTAATAAATGGTGCTGGGAAAACTGGCTAGCCATATGTAGAAAGCTGAAACTGGATCCCTTCCTTACACCTTATACAAAAATTAATTCAAGAAGGATTAAAGACTTACTTGTTAGACCTAAAACCATAAAAACCCTAGAAGAAAACCTAGGCATTACCATTCAGGACATAGGCTTGGGCAAGGACTTCATGTCTAAAACACCAAAAGCAATGGTAACAAAAGCCAAAATTGACAAATGGCATCTAATTAAACTCAAGAGCTTCTGCACAGCAAAAGAAACTACCATCAGAGTGAAAAGGCAACCTACAGAATGGGAGAAAATTTTTGCAATCTATTCATCTGACAAAGGGCTAATATCCAGAATCTACAAAGAACTCAAACAAATTTACAAGAAAAAAACAAACAACCCCATCGAAAAGTGGGCAAAGGATATGAACAGACACTTCTCAAAAGAAGACATTTATGCAGCCAAAAAACACATGAAAAAATGCTCATCGTCACTGGCCATCAGAGAAACACAAATCAAAACCACAATGAGATACCATCTCATGCCAGTTAGAATGGCAATCATTAAAAAGTCAGGAAACAACAGGTGCTGGAGAGGATGTGGAGAAATAGGAACACGTTTACACTGTTGGTGGGACTGTAAACTAGTTCAACCATTGTGGAAGACAGTGTGGTGATTCCTCAGGGATCTAGAACTAGAAATACCATTTGACCCAGCCATCCCATTACTGGGTATATACCCAAAGGATTATAAATCATGTTGCTATAAAGACACATGCACACATATGTTTATTGCGGCACTATTCACAATAGCAAAGACTTGGAACCAACCCAAATGTCCATCAATGATAGACTGGATTAAGAAAATGTGGCACATATACACCATAGAATACTATGCAGCCATAAAAAACGATGAGTTCATGTCCTTTGTAGGGACATGGATGAAGCCGGAAACCATCATTCTCAGTAAACTATTGCAAGGACAAAAAACCAAACACCGCATGTTCTCACTCATAGGTGGGAATTGAACAATGAGAACGCTTGGACACAAGAAGGGGGGCATCACACACTGGGGCCTGTTGTGGGGTGGAGGGAGGGGGGGATAGCATTAGGAGATATACCTAATGTTAAATGACGAGTTAATGTGTGCAGCACACCAACATGGCACATGTATACATATGTAACAAACCTGCACATTGTGCACATGTACCCTAGAACTTAAAGTATAATAAAAAAAGAAAAAAAAAGAAAAAAGATTGTCTAGGCACTAACGATGTTGATTCTGTCTGGAATATTTTCGCCATATTACTTGAAATGTCTTACTGAAAAAAAAAACCTCCAAATTTAGAGGACAATTACTTTCCCCAAATCTGTAAGGAAGTAAATCAAAAATTGATTTAAATAAACAATTCTGTCAAAATAAGTCAACAAAATAAATTTAATCAGACGTTTTAGATGTCTCAACAAATGAGCTGCTAGACAATTCTACTATTTTGGCACCTTCTTTTTCTCAACCTGTCCATTTGAATTGGTGCCAGATCCACCCTAAAAATTAATAGGTGTTTTCAAAGTGGCAGATCTTATAATGTTAATTGTAACAGCTAGAACCTCTGGTAGTAATTCTCACATCTAACAAAGTATATAATCCCCAACATCTACTTTACGGTTCCCAGGCCCCAAAATCTTGGTGGAAGAAACTTTTTTAAAAAAGATTTGCTGATTTGGCTCAT
Organism: Homo sapiens; assembly: GCF_000001405.40. NCBI lineage: Eukaryota > Metazoa > Chordata > Mammalia > Primates > Hominidae > Homo > Homo sapiens. The sequence goes on from NC_000023.11 coordinate 85,356,957, forward strand.
TAGAGTTTGAAGATATCCAACTTGAAGTAGACCCTTCAACCTTTGTGGTTACATTTGTATTCATCAAATTCTTTACTACGTTGCTTACAAATATTTTCATTTTCCTCAACTCCTGTGCTTATACTCCCTCTTTCTCCTCCTATTTACAGAGACAACCAAGATAATCTATCCAGTGAGATCTCTCTATTTTCCTGCACATCTCAAAAATCCCTCTTTTCTGCTCCTTCCATCCACTTAAGGAAAAAGATACATTCTCTCTCTTTGTTTTTCCTGAAGTCATTTCTCCATCTGTATCTGGAATCCCATTCCTTCTTATCTCTTCCAGAATATTATCCCATTTGTCTCCTTTCTCTGTTGCATCTTTAGCCTTCCTTATTACTGGTTCTTTCTATCTACAAGTTTCCCAGGTTCACAAGATTCTCATTTCTCCTTTAGCGACCATCCATCTCTCCTTTCTTTGACCAATACCCTTCCAGAAGAGTAATCTTCACTCATTTTTTTCAATTCATCTCATCTTCTCACCCATTAACTTCTTGCATCTGGATTTTGCCTCCATAAGTATACCAAAACTGCTCTATCAATGTCACTATCACTTTCTTAATGGTCAAACCCTATTCTCAAACCTCATCTTCTTATGCCTTTTGGTCATTTGAGACGGTTGACCACCCCATGTTTGCATTTGCCTCTGTTATGGTGTGTTCACATCCCTCTCTGATAACCCCTCTGTCTGTGAAAGTGGTTCCTTCCTTCTATTCACTTAAAGTAGACATTTCTCAAGGTTCTGACCCAACCTTCTCCATTACCTCTTAGTGATCTCACTCATTCCCATAGCTTCAATGATACCTTTAAGAGGAATGATTCCCACATCTCTGTTAAATGTGACCTTTCTTTGAGTCGTTTTTTAACTGCCTGTTAGTTAAAAATGCACCTAAAATGCTACTGGTTCAAATAAAACTCAAAATTTCACCCTTTTCTAAATCTACTTCTCCTCCCACTCACTTTTCAATCACTCTAAGTGGGTCACCTTACTCTCAGTGTCTCAAGCTAAAAAGCTTAGGGTCATGTTGACTTTTCCCCATATCCAGTAAGTCATCGAATCTTGTTAAAGCTACCATCTAAAATAGCTTCCAGAAAAGATAGAGAGTGATGAATTAGCATCAGAAGACCTGAGCAAGTTACGCTTATTCAAACTTTCATTTCCTTAGTAGTAAAACAATGCTAATATCAAGGTTAATCATACTAATACCTTAAACACCACAATAAATCCTTCCCTGATTTCCCTCAAACAAATGTATTATCTCCGACATCTGAACTCCAATAATAATTTATCTGTGGTCCTTTCACGGCATCTATCCTACATCTCACCATGTATTCTACATAGCTATTTGTGGACCTGTCTTATCTCTTTCCTTGAGAAGAGCTGTATGCTCCTTTAATTGGGGAAACATGCCTTATTTCCCTGTTTCTATTGAGAGACTGTATAGTGTCTTCCCCATAGCAGGAGCTCCACAACTGGAAAATTAATGAAATTGATTAGTACTAATTGGATTATGTCCACTAATGGAACAAAGGTATTTCCTTCATTTCTGGATCAAATGTTAACCAGAATGCATAAATCCTTAGATTAAATGATGACAAATGGAGACTAAGGAAGATCAGGAACAACAAAAAGATAAAAAGGCTTAACAGAGATAGAAAAAAATCATAATGCAACAATTGGACTGAGATTATTTTAATGACAGGAAAAAGAAATAAAGATTAGACAAGCTGGGAGGTGAAAGAGGATGAAATTGCTATTTAGAAGGCTCAGCTTATTATAAATATTGTAATTAAACTAGAATCTTCTCCTGAGGGGATTTAAAAGAGCAAACAAAAAAGGAATCTACTTAGATAAATTAAATGGGGAGTATAGCTAAACAGGATTTTCAAGCTGCTTTGTAAAACAAGTTAGATTACTTTTCGTTTACAAAGCATCATGAAACTTGAAATTTGTTTCATTCTTCAATAATGGAAAGAGGCTTATTAAGGTGGAATCTTAGTTTGTGAAATGTAAGGATTTATATCTCAGTAAAAAAATGTAATTTTCTAAAAAACTCATTGCTGGGTACAAAAGTTCACACACCACAGGCAATAAAGGCATAGGGACACTTTTTAACCTTTGACCTTTAATTTTCATCTTCCTAGTCCATATCTCCATGGCAAAGGTAAATAGCCTGAAAACTCCAACCCCTGGTGCAGCAGTTGACAGAGCTTTTATGTGAAGCTTGTAAAAGAACTTTGTCCCTTTTTTCTTTCGTTCAAAGTGCATAAAAGTCTTTTGTAGCATAAGGGTGGGGCTATAGAAGAGGAAAATCTTTACAACCCAAGAATTTCCAACCTGCTTGGAAGTATTGCATCTCTGAGTCAGAATATATAGACTCATGGTTGTTTGGCATTAAAGATGGCATTTATTGATACTGATAATCAGCAATTTACTTTGTAACTGTAAGAAAGTCCAACAATCTGATCTTAAGGATCTGGTAACTGATTAAGCCTTTTTGTTTAAGCAATTAACTTCTAAAGAATTATATGTTGGTAAAAGTTGGTGTCTTACCTGTTCAGGATTTTGTACTACATATTTCCTAATAGTGGTCTGTGGATATGTAGTAAGTTTCACTGTTGGAGAATGAAGTTCCTGTGAAGAAAAGACAAAAGCTGGATATAATCATAGTTATTTAATGAGCTTGGAGCTATCAATAATAATAGGGAACAATTTCCAGGGTTAAATTTTTAGTTATTTGCATGAATGATAATGTATGATTTTATGATTTAGTTAATTTTAATTTCAGAAACATGTATAAAAGCATGTGTTCTGTGCCCAACATTTTACTGGGTACTCGTATTATACTCATTTCATGGTATTTCATCCACATTCCAAACTATATTTGACAAGCATTTTAAAATGCTTCTTTCATTGTAAATGATTACAAGAAAATAATACCTCAATAGTTGATGAATTAAACCTCTGGTTTGGAAAAGACATGTTAAAAAAAATGAAAAGAGACATAAAGAGAAAAACGTGTATGTGTGTGTAGTTAAACATATAAATCCTCAGTGTGCTGGAAAGAGAGGACCATAGATATCACTGTAAAATGTTGATGGGAAAAGAGTTTTTTTGGGGGGTTCATGTAGATTTATTTATTATTTATTTATTTATTATTATTTTTAACTTTTGTTAGAGGTTCAGGAGAACATATGCAGGTTTGTTATATAGGTAAATTCACGTCACAGGGGTTTGTTGTACAGATTATGTCATCACCCATGGACTAAGCCTAGTACCCAGTAGTTATTTTTACTAATCCTCTCCCTCCCCCAACCCTGCATTCTTAAGTGTGGGCCAGTGTGTATTGTTCCCCTTTTTGTGTCCATGATTTCTCATTATTTAGCTCCCACTTATAAGTGAGAACATGCGGTATTTGGTTTTCTGTTCCTGTGTAAGTCTGCTAAGTTTAATAGCCTACAACTCCATCCATGTTCCCACAAAAGACATGATCTCATTCTATTTTATGGCTGCCTAGTATTCCATGGTATGTATATATATATATATATATATATATATATATACATATATACACATTTTCTTTATCCAATCTGTCATTATTGGGCATAGTGATTTCATATCTTTGCCTTTGTGAACAGTGTTGCAATGAACATTCATGTACATGTGTCTTTATGGTAGAATGATTTATATTCCTTAGGATATATACCCAGTAATGGGATTGCTGGGTTGTATACCCAGTAAGGGGATTGCTGGTAAAAGGGTAGTTCTATTTTTGGCCCTTTGAGGAATTGCCACACTGCTTTTCACAATGGTTGAGCTAATTTACACTCCCACCAACAATGTATAAGCTTTCCCTTTTCTCCACAGCCTCACCAGCATCTGTTAGGTTTTATTTTCTTCTGGCTTGTTAATAATAGTCATTCTGACTGTTACGAGGTGGAATCTCATTGTGGTTTTGACTTGCATTTCTCTAATGATCAGTGATATTGAGTTTCTTTTCATATGCTTGTTGGTTACATGTATGGCTTCTTTTGAGAAGTGTCTGTTCATGTCCTTTGCCTACTTTTTAATCGGGTTGTTTGCTTTTCTCTTGTAAATTTGTGCAAGTTCCTTATAGATGCTGGATATTAGACTTGTCAAATGTGTAGTTGACAAATATTTTATCCCATTCTATAGGTTTTCGTTTCACTCTGTTGATAGTTTCCTTTAACGTGCAGAAGCTCTTTAGTTAAGTTAGATTTTATTTGTCAATTTTGCTTTTGTTGGGATTGCTTTTGACATTTTGTTTCTATGTCCAGAATGGTATTGCTTAGGTTGTCTTCCAGGGTTTTTAGAGTTTGGGGTTTTACATTTAAGACTGTAATCAGTCAATCTTGAGTTGATTTTTGTATATGGTGTAAGGAAGGGGTCCAGTTTCAATCTTCTGCATATGGCTAGCCAGTTATCCCAGCTCCATTTATTGAATAGGGAGTCCTTTCCCCATTGCTTGTTTTTGACAGCTTGGTCAAAGATCTGATAGTTGTAGGTGTGCGGCCTTTTTTCTGCGCTCTCTATTCTGTTCCCTTGGTCTATGTGTCTGTTCTTGTACCAGTACCATGCTGTTTTGGTTACTGTAGCCCTGTAGTAGTTTGAAGTTGGGTAGCGTGATGTCTCCAGCTTTGTTCTTTTTGCTTATGATTGCCTTGGCTATTTGGCCTCTTTTTCTTGTTCCATATGAATTTTAAAATAGTTTTATTTCAAGTTCTGTGAAGAATATCCTTGGTAGTTTAATAGGAATAGCATTGAATCTATAAATTGCTTTGGGCAGTATGGTGATTTTAACAATATTGATTCTTCCTATCCATGAGCATGGAATGTTTCTCCATGTTTGTGTCATCTCTGATTTCTTTGAGCAGTGTTTTGTAATTCTCATTGTAGAGATCTTTCACCTCACTAGTTAGCTGTATCCCTAGGTATTTCGTGTGTGTGTGTGTGTGTGTGTGTGTGTGTGTGTATGTGTGTGTGTGGCAATTGTGAAAGGGACTGCATTCCTGATTTTGCTCTTGGCATAATTGTTGTCCGTGTATAAGAATGTTAGTGATTTTGCACATTGATTTGGTATCCTGAAATTTGGCTGAAGTTGTTGATCAGCTTAAGGTAGTTTTTGGCCAAGACTATGGGAGTTTCTAGATATAGAATCATGTCAACTGCAAACAGGGATAGTTTGACTTCCTCTGTTTCTATTTTAAAGTTCTTTATTTCTTTCTCTTACCTGTTTGCTCTGACCAGGACTCCCAATACTATGTTGAATAGGAGTGGGGAGAGAGGGCATCCTTGTCTTATGCCAGTTTTCAAGCGGAATGCTTCCAGCTTTTTCCCTTTCACTATGATGTTGGCTATAGGTTTGTCACATATGGCTCTTATTATTTTAAAGTATGTTCCTTCAATACCTAGTTTATTGAGACTTTTTAACATGAAGCAATGTTAAATTTTATCAAAAGCCTTTCTGCATTTATTGAGATAATCATGTGGTTTTGTCTTTAGTTCTGTTTATGTGATGCATAGCATTTATTGATTTGTGAATGCTGAACCAGTGTTGCATCCCAGAAGTGAAACCTATCTGACGGTGGTGGATTGGTTTTTTGATGTGCTGCTGGATTAAGTTTGCAAGTATTTGGTGGAGGATTTTTGCATCAATGCTCATCAAGGATATTGGCCTGAAGCTTTCTCTTTTTTTTGTTGTGTCTCTGCCAGGTTTTGGTATCAGGATGATGCTGGCCTCATAAAATGATTTGGGGAGGAGTCCCACCTCTTCAATTTTTTGTAGTACTTTCAATATGAATGGTACCATCTCTTCTTTGTACATCTGGTAGAATTTGGCTGTGAATCCATCTGGTCCTGGGCTTTTTTTGGTTGTTAGGCTATTTATTACTGATTCAATTTTGGAGCTCATTATTGGTCTGCTCAGAGATTCAATTTTTTTCCTGCTTCAGTCTTGGGAGGAAAAATGTGTCCAGGAATTCACCCATCTCTACTAGGTTTTTCAGTTTGTATGCATAGAGGTGTTTGTAGCAGTTTCTAATGGTAATTTTTATTTCTCTGAGGTCAGTGGTAACATCCCCTTTGTCATTTCTAAGTGTGTTTATTTGGATCTTCTCTCTTTTCTTCTTTATTAGTCTAGCCAGCAGCATATCTGCCTTATTAATTTTTTGAGAAAACGAACTCCTGGATTTGTAGATCTTTTGAATTTTTTTTTGCATCTCAATTTCCTTGAGTTCAGCAATGATTTGGTTATTTCTTGTCTTCTGCTAGCTTTGGGTTTGGTTTGCTCTTCATTGTCTAATTCTTTCTGTTGTGATGTTAGGTTGTTAATTTGAGGTCTTTCTAACTTCTGGTTGTGGGTGTTTAATGCTATAAATTTCCCTCTTAACACTGCCTTAGCTGCATCCCAGAGATTCTGGTATGTTGTATCTTTGTTCTCATTAGTTTCAAAGAACTTCTTGATTTCTGCCTTAATGTCATTATTTACCCAAAAGTCACTCAAGAGCATGTTGTTTAATTTCCATGTAATTGCATGGTTTTCAGCGATTTTTAAAACTTTGACTTCTATTTTTATTGTGCTTTGGTCCAAGAAGGTGTTTGGTATGATTTCAGTTCTCTTGCAGTTCCTGAAGATTGTTTTATATCTGATTGTTTGGTGGATTTTAGAGTATGTGCTACGTGATGATGAGAAGAATGTATATTATGCTGTTTTGGAGAGGAGAGTTCCGTAGAGGTCTATCTGATATATTTGGTCAAATCTTGAGTTCAGGACCTGAGTATCTTTGTTAATTTTCTGCCTTGATGAGCTGTCTGATCCTTTCAGTGGAGTGTTGATGTCTCCCACTATTATCGCATGGGAGTCTGCATCTCTTTGTAGGTCTCTAAGAACTTGCTTTATGAATCTTGGTACACCTGTGATGGGTGCATATATATTTAGGACAGTTAAGTCTTCCTGTTAAATTGAAATCTTTACTATTATGTAATGCCCTTCTTTGTCTTTTTAAAAATCTTTCTTAAAGTCTGTTTTGTCTGAAATTATAATTGCAACCCATGCTTTTTTCTTTTTTTCATTTTCTTGGTAGATTTTTCTCCATCCCTTTACTTTTAGCCTATGGGTGTCATTGTAAGTGAGATGGGTCTCTTGAAGACAGCATTTTTTAGGGGGAGTCTTGGTTCTTCATCCAGCTTGCCATTCTGTGCCTTTTAACTGAGGTGTTTAGTCCATTTACATTCAACTTTGGTATTGAAATGTGTGCATTTGATTCTGTTATTATTTTGTTGACTGGTTATTATGCCGGCTTGTTTGTGTGGCTGCTTTATAATGTAACTGATCTGTGCACTTAAGTATGTTTTTCTATTGACTGGTAATGATCTTTACTTTCCATGTTTAGTGCTCCTTTCAAGATCTCTTGCAAGGCAGGTCTGATGGTAACAAACTCCCTTAGCATTTGCTTATCTGAAAATAATCTTATTTCTCCTTTGCATAAGAAGCTTAGTTTGGCTGGATATGAAATCCTTGTTTGATGATTTTTTTTCTTTAATAATGTTGAATATAGGCCTCTACTCTCTCCTGGCTTGCAGGGTTTCTGCTGAGAGGTCCACTGTTAGCCTGATGGGCTTTCCTTTATAAGTGACCTGCCCTTTCTCTCTAGCTGCTGTCAACATTCTTTCTTTCATTTCAACCTTGGAAAATCTGCTGATTATGTGTCTTGAGGATGATCTTCTTGTGTAGAATCTTGCATGGTTCTCTGTATTTTCTAAATTTGACTGTTAGCCTCTCTAGCAAGGCTAGGGAAGTTTTCATGGACCATATCCTCAAATGTGTTTTCCAAAATTTTGCTTTCTCCCTGTCCCTTTCAGAGTTGCCAATATTTCATAGATTTAGCTTGTTTACATAATCCCATATTCCTCAGAGATTTTGTTCATTCCTTTTCATTCTTTTTTTTCTTTATTTTTGTCTGACTGTCTTATTTCAGAGAGCCAGTCTTCAGTTCCTGAGATTCTTTCCTTGGCTTGATGTATTCTCCTTTTAATACTTGTGATTGCATTGTGAAATTCTTCTAGTGTGTTTTTTCAGCTCTATCAGATCAGTTAGGTTCTTTTTTTTACTAGCTGTTCCATGTATTGGTTTTTGTATCATTTTATTGTGATTATTAGTTTTCTCAGATTGGGTTTTGCCATTCTCCTAAATCTCAATGATCTTTATTTCTATCCATATTCTGAATTCTATTTCTGTTATTTCAGCCAGTTCAGGCTGGTTAAGAACCCTTGTTGAAGAACAAGTGTGATCATTTGGAGGACATAAGCCACTCTGGCCTTTTGAGTTGCCAGAGTTCTTGCATTGGTTCTTTCTTATCTCTGTGTGTGGGTGTTCCTTTAACTGCAGTGTAGGTTGACTACAGTCAATAGACTTCTTTTTTGTATGTCTTCACAGGGCTGAGGTTTTGTGCAGGGTCTAAATAGCTGACTTCTTGTCTTTGGTTTCACAGGGGGCTATGTTAGTGAGGTATTGTTGTTGAAGCTTTGGGTTGTGATCCAATAGGTGGCGCTTAGACATAGTGGTCTGTTGGTAGGCTCTTGCTCTGTCCTGTTGCTCCTCTGTTATTTCCTCACAGTTGCAGCTATGCTCCCTCTCAATGCCCTGAAAGTGTGGGCTCCTCTCCCACTTGAGTGCTGGCTGTAGACTGTGGCTTGGCACTCCAGGGATGTCCATTACAGCTCTATGGCGATATCAGTGTTTGTTTTCTCCTCAACTTGGAGGCAGCAGAGAGGACCTTAGCAGTGGTTGTGGCCAAAGGTCTTTTACTTGTCTCCTGGGAGCTCCACCCAGGGAGATACAGGTCAGCAGTCACTCAGTGCTATCAGCCCGGGATGGGGGTTCTGTGCTGTAGGCCTAAGTCGGGGGTTCCCTGCCTGGTAATGAGCAGGTGAGGGGTTCCATGGCAGGGAAAAGAGTTCATATCATCCATATAAAGAGAGTTCTTATATATCAATGAGAACAAAATCACACTTATAGAAAAATGAGCAAATGACATGAACAATTTATAAAAAATAAAAGCAAATGGTTAATAAACTTAACAAAAAGTGTTCAGCCAAACTAGGAATCAAACATAGCAGAAGAATGCCATATTTTTACTGGAAAATTTGAAAAATAATGCTGATGAAGGTTCAGCAGGGCAGGTATTCTCTTATGGAGAGGGGGAAGATTGAATAATCATCCATAGGCTGGAATATGTAGCCATTAAATAATGATCTTGAATAATACAAATTTATATTAAAAGCTCATAATATCATATAAGTGAGAAAATGGGGATATAAAACTGTATATATGGTATAAACTCAATTTTGTATTTGAATGGAAGAAAACACAACAAAATATAAAGAGTAGTAATCTCTAGGTGGGGGAAGGAATCATGAGTGATTTTTGTTTTTGCTTCTTTATATTTTTTAATAGTTCTAAAATTTACTACAACAAACACATATTTTCATTATCAGAAATAATATGTACAGTAAACCCAATTTTAAAACCCTTAATTATGAAAAATAAAATAGATAATACAATTTTTTGACTGGATTTGACTGTAGTCAACACCCCTGTGATTTAAGTGAATCAATCTCACTTTGTTGGTCCTATAGGGCTGCATTTCTAAGTCAATTATAACCTTTATCCCACTGTCCAATGGTTTGTTATGTATGTGGCCCATGCTAGTCTGTGAGCTCCTTGAAAATAGTGATTGTGTCTAATTTACCTTTGTGCAATATGTGGCACATACTTGGTGTTCGGCAAATGTAAGCTGAGTAAGTGCATTACTCTAATTGACCTAACTCTAATCTAGACCAAACTGAGAAGTGGTAGGGAAACTTTTCTTTGATAATCTTCTTATTTTTCTGCATAATATCATATTTTCCTTGCTATGCTCAAGGACTAAAGACCAGTTTTTGTTCATTTGTCTCCTCACTGTCCAAGTTCACATCCTGACCCCGCATCTGGGTCAGATTGTTTTTTTAAACAGCATCTCCCGCCTTCCTACCCTTTAAATCCCATAACCCCTTTACTCCTCTTTCGTGTAACAACAAACTTAGCGTGCTTTATGTTTTTCTTTCTTCGAATTTACTTTTTGATATATGGCAATTACTTAATGAAACACATATTTCAATATGTGTTTATTATTATAGCTACCTTTTGGATACACAATGCCTAGATTCAAGAATAAACCTAAAAGTGGGACTATTAGGCCATAAAGGCTAAGGAAATAGATCCTTGTGTGTCTTTCAAATCATACACCTATAAGAAGAGTTAGTTATGACCCTATAAGTTATTCTCTCTGAATATGAACTCATAATACTATCACTCATAAAGCCAAGTCTTCAATCAATCTGAGATCTAGCTATTTCATCCATACTCACTTGGCTAAATTAAACTGCACTCAAACTAAAAGCAGTCAGATTGAACAGGCAATGAAACAGAAGAAGCTGATTCATAGCACTTGTTTCACATTACTTTTATGGGCTGAGGTGATACTCATATGTGAGAATCCTCTTTCATATTTTATGATCCTCACATGGTGTGAATGTGTAAAGTCTTATGGGGGTCTAAAGATTGCTTACATACATGAAGAAGACTTCCATATAAAAAAGAGGAACAAATCTAATGTAATTCACAACTTCTTTTACCTGTTCAGTATTTTGGGTTATATGTAGAGTACTTGGGGCACATGTAGATATTTTTAAAGTTGGAGAATGGAGTTCCTGTTAAGAGAAACAAAAGGGAGTTCAGAAATTATTTGAAAGTCTTAAGTTCTCATGGTATTTTTTCTTTATTTTTATAATAATGTGGTTAGTCAGAAATAAGAGCATTATTTAGTGCTTTCTTAGATAATATCCATCTTTCCAAAGAACTAAATTACTTTGTTGTCTTCTCACATAACCCAATGATAAAAGAGTTTCTAGAGTGCTTTCATAGCAATACATTCTACTTGTACTGTTAGGTTGCATTCTTTTTGTTTCTGCTTCAAGAACTCTGCATTCATATACACCCCAATGTTATTATATGTTTGCAATTAGCAAGATATAATATTTTACAAACAAAACTTTTCTTTCAGTATTTGTTCTATTTCTTTTTTAAAATTCTTATAAATTTAAGGAGTACAAGTGCAGTTTTGTTACATGGATATTTTGCATAGTGGTGAAGTCTGGGCTCTTAGAGTAACCATCAACCGAACAGTGTACATTGTACTCATTAAATAATTTCTCATAAAATGATGTAAAATTTAATAATTATCAAACCAAGAGATAGACATCCCATTCTTCATGATGTGCTTATTTCACGTTGCATGCCTGTATCAGAACATCTTATGCACCCCATAAATATACACATTTACTATGTGCCCAAAATTTTAAAAATAAAATAAAACTTAGAAAAAATAATTCTCAAACCAATATAAGAAACTACCTTTGAAAACTCAACTAAGAGTAATTTTAAGAGTAAATTTTAAAGTACCTTTGAAGAAGGTAGTTTGAAGAGTAAATTTAAGAGTAAATTTCAAACTACCTTTGAAAATGCAACTAAGAGTAATTAATTTTAAATCACTTCAAGCTAACTCTTAATTATGCTTTGTCTATTCTGCTTCTAGTCTAATTTCAGAGTAGGCTCTGTTGTTAAAATAATCTGTAAAAGTGAAAGAATATAATTTTTTAAAATGGTCCAATAAAATGATCAATCTGTCCATCATGCTGGCATTGTTTACATATTTCCTCAAAACCAACAAAACTGCAATCACTTCATTAGTGTGCAAAGAAATGATGGCGTTACTCAATCTCCCCATACCTTACCATAATTTACAATCAATTGGCACGACTCCATTATATCTTCCTACAAAGGTATAAATATTTTTTCTGTAGAACAAGGGAACTATTAAAAATCAGAATCATTAATTTACAAGGGAAACACTGACAGACTCATACAGAACTATAGCTATAATGTAGGTGTTACATGTATTCTTAAAACAGGACTATGCATTTACTCAAACTGCCAAATGTTCTGAATTCTTTCTTGTTGTTGCTGTTGTTGAACTTGTAACATTTTCATCCTCCACCACCCTTTATATCAACAGCAATACTGCAGGCTCAGTATTTCTAGGAATCTTTTGCATATATTCTCAGATTTTCTGCTAATAATTGAGAAGACTTGCTCAGACAAATGCAGAGAATTACAGATTATAGACAAAACAGGTACACATTATCCAGTTTAGGAAAATGGTTATAAATACAACCATGTGCAGGCAGGTTTGGCCCACAGACCCAAGAGGAGCAGATTCAAGAAGACAAGAAAAAAGAGGGGTGCTCTTTAGTTATGGAATAACACATGAACACATTCTTAATATAAACATTTATATAGATAAGGTTAAAGACCTTCTCTTGACCATCTTTCCTCCATTCACTTACCCAGAAGTGACTATTGTTGTCAGTTAAGATGTCTTTACATATATACCTATGTATAAATAGTAATATTATTGCTTTCATTGTTCTACAACTTAAACCAAACAGTATCTCTTGTATTATGTACTAGATACATGTTTTAACTCATTATTTTCAATTAATAGTATTCCAAAATGCTTGCTTTATAGCTTGTTTTTATGTTTTCCTGCTGATTAACATTTATATTGTTTCCAGGTTTCCACTGTGCTGCAATGAGCATCCTTGTGCAACATGTTTCTTTAGAATCCCACACAGAATTGGGATTGCTGGGGCATGGAGTATGTGTGTTATTCATTTGAACAGATACTGCCCAACTAATTTCCCAAATTTGACTATGATAATTATACATCCACCAGCAGTGTGTGAAGGTATTCATGTCTAGAGGATGTTTGGTCTGTTTAGGCTGGGGCTAATAATATTATACTAGTATCATTCTGAGAAGACAACTATACACATGGTTAGTATCTGGTAGCTGTTGTAGAAATGATAGCTCTGTCCTTCTTGTAACCAATTCAAATATGATGGCATTAGCAAATGAAACATAGCAAATCTTACTAGCCAACTGGACTAGCTTTTAAGATACAAAAGCGTACTAAGAAGTTTTATAAATCTGCAGAAATTTAAACAAATAGGAATACACACACATCACACATCACAGATAAAGACATTTATTTATGCTAGTATAAGCAGTATTACTTTATTCAGATGTTAAGATAATAGATGTTTAAATGGCAAACAGTTGTATTTGAGCAAAGACTAGTCTTGCCCTAAAATGAAGGAATTCTTTAATCTTCTTATATGTGGAAAGCTGGAACATTAAGTCCATAGATTATAATGTACTCAATTATTTTTAGCCCTACTTCAGCCTTCATTATTAAAATTGATCATCTAGACAAATGTGGCTTTCCCACGCAACCCTCATGGAAACATTAGAGAACAAATATAATAGGTTCAAAAATTACAACATTAAGATGTAGCTTAATATGAGTCAAAGATATTTAGACATATGGTGTTGAACAGCATGAATTTAAATTGCATCAGTATGGATTTAGGCTGATCATAAGGGGGAAAACCTCTCTGAAAATAGGTTTATTAATTCCAGAAATACTTGCTAAAGAAAACCCCTTTTCCCTGGAAGTCTACAAAATTAAGTAAGATGGTGTGAGTAAATGTCCAGAATGAACAAAACCTTGATGTTGAAAGGTACTTTCAATGGCATCAAGATCTAGGCAAGATTGCAGCAAGTCATCCCATAAATAGCCATTGACCATTCCATAGAAAGTGATCCAAAATATTTTTGAAAGAATGAATGAAAAGGAGATCTTAGTTTTAAAAGCACTCCAGGAATAACAATCCAAATCTCCCTCTTAATAACCTGTATCAGTCAGTGTTTAATTTTGTTACTCATCTGTGTATAGCTTACCTAAATCCTTCATGTTGAAACTATTAAATTCAATGAACAGTCAATGTTTTTGTTTTTATGCCTTTTGTGCCACAGCCCCACATTCCTGATGACCAAATAATTGAAGGCGATAATGGGGTGGTGGTGGTTATCATGACATAGTGGAAAAAGTGCTAGACTTGGAGTCAGCAGACCTGGATTTTATTCCCATTTATACTACTAGCCACTTTTGTAATACTGGTCAACTCATGTTCTCTCTCTGAGATTTGTTTCCTCATGTGAGAAATGAGAAATGGGATATGGGTGTGGGCGAGTGTGGATTAGAGGATCTTTAAGTTTGTTTCTGACGTTCTGTGAATATAAGAGACCATTCCCAACTTATTTTTCCATACAAACAAAACAATTTCAAATTTTTTAAACTTGTCAGTATTGTTTTCCTTTTGATGATGATTATAATGATGACTAACACCTATTAATAGCTTTCTGTGCCAAACATGTTACATAGATCATTCTCTTTAACACTCAAAATAACCCCATAAAGAAGATACTATTATAACCCCATTACATAAACAAGTGAAGTTAGACAGAGGTAGGATAGGTAACCAGATGGAGATTACACAGCTAATGCTAAGGTGCTGGAATTCCAACTCAGCATGACTCCAGAACTCATGCTCTTAATCACCATATTTTGCCACGTTTATTGCTTGCTTCATTATATTTTCTGTTTTTCAAGTTGTGTAACCTAATTATATGGTTAAGTTTGACTAGTCCTTATAACAGAAGGTCAAATACTGGGACTTTTAAAATTATTCAGTGTCAAAAGCAACTTTGGAGGCCTGAAAATAAGACACCCACCCACAAGTAGCTGTGTGAGAGAACAGCCTTGATTAGATAATTTAAGTTTCCATAAACTCAATAGAATTTGTAAAACGCGTGGTACATTTACAGAGTGTACTCACAAGCCTCTAAAACTCAATAAACCATTGAATTTTTGTTTAATGCTCATATCATCTAATCTCTTCAATTTTGCAGGAAGACCTTACTTTTTCTGATAAAATATTCAGCATTTTGTTGAGTCGTTTATTCCTGTGGGTCAGACTTGCTATATACACAAACATTATACTTTATTGGCAACTTTAAGTAGAGTCTGGTGAAAAAGAATTTGGGGCCGGGCGTGGTGGCTCACGCCTGTAATCCCAGCACTTTGGGAGGCTGAGGTGGGCGGATCACGAGGTCAGGAAATCGAGACCATCCTGGCTAACATGGTGAAAACCCGTCTCTACTAAAAATACAAAAAAATAGCCGGGTGTGGTGGCGGGCGCCTATATTCCCAGCTACTCAGGAGGCTGAGGCAGGAGAATGGCGTGAACCTGGGAGGCAGAGCTTGCCGTGAGCCGAGATCGTGCCACTGTGCTCCAGGCTGGGCGACAGAGCGAGACTCTGTCTCAAAAAAAAAAAAAAAAGAAATGAAAAAGAATTTGGTTTATAATTATGTGGGCTTGGGGATAATTTCATTACATCACTTGAGATAATTGTCCATACCTTTGTACACACTAAATCTGAGCTAGGAAACTCTGGTTTCCCTAGAGAATTCATTATTCATAAAAGTATATCTTATTTCCACCTATTTGTTAAAAAAGCTGTTTTCAGGGGAACATCACACACAGGGGCCTGTCAGAAGATGGGGACCTAGGGGACGGATAACATTAGGAGAAATACCTAATGTAGGTGACGGGTTGATGGGTGCAGCAAACCACCATTGCCCGTTTATACCTATGTAACAAAACTGCCCTTTCTGCACATGTACCCCAGAACTTAAAGTATATATATATATAAATATATTTTATTCATATTTATATATATTATATTATATATACTATATATATATATACTTTAAGTTCTGGGGTACATGTGCAGAAAGGGCAGTTTTATATATAAGCTGTTTTCAGAGTTAAATCAGATGATGTGCAAATGGCCTAAATGTCTCAGTTATTTACTTTAGTGAAAATGCTTTTGAGTAGCTCAGTGCAGTAAAGAAAGAAGGGAAGGCAGAAGCTCAAAAGGTGTTATTCTCCTTTGAAAGAAAGAAAACCTTAAAAACTTAATATATACCCTGAATTCTAGGATTATTTCTGAGCAAGACCTTGAAAACTAGAGGGAAAACTATTTTTGTCCTCTAATGTATTTTTGATATTTTCCATTCTGATAATGGAACATTAGAATGGGAAAATATACAGTAAGGGTAATCATCAAATGTTTTGTTGAAATAAAAAATGTGAACTAATTTAAACTGAAATCATGAATATCGAAAGTTAATTAAGGGAGATAGCTGATGTAATGAAAATATCAGGAGCTGGTTTTTAAACTCAGGGCATTCACTAACCAGCTGTACTAAATAGGCAAGTTATTTTGAGCTATTCGAGTCTCAATTTCCTTATTTGTTTAACAGATAAATAATACACAATGAATATTGTCTTTATTTGTACATCGTACAATTTGTACAATAAACATAATAATGCATGTTTTATCTAATTGTTGAGGTTCTATCAAGTTGTTTACTAGATAATCATATACATGGAAGAGTTGTGAAAAACAAAAAACCCATGTATTAATATGAAATATTATTTTCACTGGATTGATTATATATGTGACTAAGTTACTAACTTGCAGTTTCTTTACTACTTATTGTGTAGTGGCATTGAAAGAGATACAAATGATGTTAGAATATAATCTCTACCCTCTCATGGTTATAATCATGTAGGGCATAAACACTATGAGTACAAATAGGAATTAAGTAGACTATCATAAGACCTATAAGAAGCTCACTAGGTAAGTTTTGAGGGCTAAGAGATAACTTCAACCTGGGACAATCAGAGGATCAGAAGGTTACACTTGAGGAAAGGCTTGAAAAATTTGTATAATTTCAGGGTGTCTAGATTGGTGAGGGTGAGGAGCAGGAGCAGTTCAGATGTAAGAGCAATGGAGTGAAAGACATAGCTGTGGAAAATTGGGGACTTTATTTAGAGAACAATCATTTACACTTAGCTAAAACATAGGACACCAGAAGGAGAGTTCCAGGAAGTTCCACAGGAGCCCTAACATGGAGGGCCTTGAAAGTCAGACTAAGCAATTTATAGATACTTAGTGTCATTGAAGGTTTTTGCAGCAGAGGAGTGATATGGGATGTGTATAGGGAATTTAAGCAACTTTTCTAGAGAACATATTCTTAGGTGTAATTAAAGTTGTGGAGATTTTAAAATTAATATTCCTAGGGACTCCAACTAGACTGCTTCATAGTTCTATTCTGCCAAAGTTCACCTCATGATTGCATATTTATTTACAGCTCTTCCTGAGACATTCCACATAGACCTTTTTGGGCATTTTCTTCATACAATTTTCTCTGCAATTGGTCTTTAGACTGCAAAATCTGAACCTCTTCAGTCAAGACCTGTTGGCTTCATTTTCCTGTTGATAGCTGTGGTCAAAGAGCTCAAAAGCCTGGTGTAAGACATACAAGAAAGACTGAAGGTAATGAGAATTAAATCATAGAGAATATTACATACGTAGTGCAGGCTTTGTTTCTAAATATTTGGAAACTTGCTAACATGAAAGTATAACTCTTTATGTTGTCTAATTTGAATTTTAAAACTTTACATAAAGACTAATATACAGTATAATATTCCATGAAGGAAAACCATGGAAGGTTTGTGTATGCTCCTGTTACTCCCAATGACTATGAGAATCACTGAAGGTAATAATGGTGAGTTACAAATACTCTAGGCTGAACAGTTTCAAAAGAAGCAATATCTTTAAAAACCACCTGACATTTATGCTGACAGAATTTGCCAAGGCAAACCTCCATTTGAATAAATTCCCTGAATAGTATGGGAGATGTTTTTGTTAGGATCTTTCAAAGCCATGTAACATAGTTAAACACCTGTCTGAGGTTATTGTTGAGATGTTATACTCAACTTATATAGCAAGAAACATGTTATTTATAATAATCTCTCTTTAGATGAAATAAACACTTCTTTGATTTAGGATAAAATCTG
The DNA here is from genome assembly GCF_000001405.40 of Homo sapiens. Taxonomy (NCBI): domain Eukaryota; kingdom Metazoa; phylum Chordata; class Mammalia; order Primates; family Hominidae; genus Homo; species Homo sapiens. Next base: position 85,374,949 of record NC_000023.11, read on the forward strand.
TGTTTCTGTTGTCATACAAAGAAAGCAACCGAATGTATAATAGAACTACTTCCTGTTCCTCCTTCTCTCCAACCCAAATCCCTCATTTAAGAGGTCCATATTGGGTTCTTTCTCTTCTTTTTCTGAAGAAAACTAGGAGACAGAGAGAAAATAAAATACACAGTCTTTTTTGCAGTGCATGCTTTCTGTCTTTAAAAATTATGAGTATATATACTTTATTGAAAATCAAAAAATGACCTCTACTGGGATAGCCCCTGGTCTGAAGAAAAAGTTGGCTGAAATATATTTATTAATAAAAGTTTTAACTTTTAAATAGGGCTTAAGAGCATGGCAAATTTCCCAATTGTTTTGTCATGAATTGTCAAGAAAATAAACTTGAAAGGACAGTTTCCCTCTCTTCCACTTGCCACCCTCATATCTTGCCACACACACACCGTGACAGCTTATGAGTGCCTTTGACTGAAAACAGGCCCAGCAATTTATCAGACCTCCGTTAAACAAGATACAATTGCCATGGGCATTTTCACTCAGCAATTAGTTGCACTCTCCAATTTCTATAGCTTCATTTAATTGTAAGCACAAAAGAGGAGACCAAAGCTGAAAATGCAACCCCTTTATCCTATGACCTCATTCTTTTTTCAGGCAGCGCACTTCCTTGAACAATCATTCACTTTAGTGACTACGCCCTTGAACAACAATTTATCAAAGCAGCACACCCCTCCCCACAGAACGGGAAACTTTTCTGATAGTGGAAGAGAAGAGTTATCCACAATCTTTGCAACCAAAGAAAAAGCACAAAAAAATCATATAAACAAAGGTAAGCCCCAGCTGAATAATTGTTGAGAACAGAGGTCATTCGTAAACACACATTTTCCCCCAGGCTGCTCTCTAGAGTTTCTTTGCAAGTTTCAAATTCAAAAGAATGGCAACCCTTATAACATATACACTAAAATAATCCTTCTCTCACAAAAGCATGTTTTACTTGATAAAATGCTGATGGTCACAACACAAAATACTCCTTTAAAATGAAATATAGATAGACACATGGGACACCTACAGACCAGGCTCTGTATGTCTGTCCTAAAAATGAACTCTCCCTGGACAGGTTAATGGTATTTATCCAGAAAATCACAGTGTTTGCTAAAAAATAGGCACTTAATAAACATGTATTCAGTGAATGACTGGTATTTAAAAATATTTTATTTTAATCCATTTTTTCTCTCTCACATTTTTTCTCTCTCATGTATACAGCTGCTCTGTATGCATGAAAAATACCTCGAACTTCATGAAAACCTTAATTAGTGGAAGGAAAGAATGTTAGCCCAATGAGTAATTCATATCAATGTTGCTCATTTAAGGCATTTCATTTTGAGTTAATGATGGTAGGTTAACAGCTAAGCTTTGTAAAAGATTGAACTAAGAATTTTTGTTTTACTTTAAGCTTCTAGAACTCTATTTATTTGCAAGACCACATTCAGTTCTAAAATGCATCTGAGACCTTGATTATATCTGTGTTTGACTATACGTGTTCATGCAGATAAACCCAGTAATTTTAATTCTACCATTAATTTAGAAAATTTCACCAGCAACTGGTTTCTACACTTAATTTTCTCTGAGAAACACTCTATCAATCAAACAAAATAATAACCAAAAAACATAAAATATATGTTTAATTAAAGAAACAAAGTAACATTATATATCTAGATAAATTTAAAATATGTTTATATCCATAAACACCATTTTAGTGCACAAGAGGTTAAGAGAATAAAAGCATGTACTCAAAAGCTAGAAATGGAAAATAAAGTGCTACAGAAAACATTTGATTAAATCGAAAATGCCTACTACATGACCTAAAATTATGATTCAGGAAGCAAAGCAGAGTAGCATCAATTTTGGTTTCTCAAAGGCAACATATTTTACTACTGGTAATATTTATTTTAAAATCTCATTAATTCCCTGAATGTCTTCCAAAAACCAAAAGGCAAAAAACAAAACAAAACAAAACAAAAACAAAGACAAAGTAAAAGTTTAACTGAATTCATGATGATCAACCATTGATTGTAAAATCAATTTTTCTTGCTGCCATGGTCACAAACTCTGGTATTAGGCTAATTGCTACACATCAACTCATCTGAAACGTGGTTTATTAAGGATAGACTTTATTGAAACATAAAGTGAATTAAGGGTTTTTGAGTAATATGTACTGCTTGCTCATGCCTGTCATGGTACATTATACATACCATCACATTATACTCATTTCGTTAGCATAAAGGTAATTTCAGATCAAATCTAGGTCCTACTTTACATGATGCCACAATGCCATTCCATCAATAAACAGGGAGAAAGGAAAATAAAATAGAAGAGTTTCCTCATCATATTCTTTGTGACAGCTATCTAAAAGCTGTCTTGCCAAGTTCTCTTTTAGTGGATTTGTGAATGCCCTTTGATATCCAACTCAGTTTGAAAATTTATAGTCAAATATTCTTTCTTCTTGTTTCACTAAGGAATTAATACTTCTTTTTTTCCCTTTACCACATAGCTTAACTTTCACTTTTCTCATTTTCTAACAGCACTTACTTTTCTTCCTTTTCAATAATAAATAACTTCAGACTTCACAGAGCCCTCCATTCTAATCTTTTATCCCAGTTTCTGCAGCTGCACTTTCTAGCCCTAAGTTGTTTATAAACTCCTGTGTGGCGAGCTACATTTTAGGAAGGAGATAGTCCATTTTTAAGGATCACTTTGGCAAATGCCAGGTAAAATAAGGAAAATCTTGTAAAAAGCTCAACCAACTTGATCCTGAGTTATTGAAAGGGGAAGCTGAACCAAGGAGTAAATAATAAAACATACTCCTAAAAATTGTCCGGTAGCCAATATTTATAATTTGTCAAATTTCAGCTTTTAAATATCTATTTATGTTTCTTTTACTAGCAAGTTGACAAAAAAGGGGTCTAAATATGTTTAAATAGCTATGGCAGATAGGATGATTTTAGGATTCCTAAGATAATAGTAATTGTTTTTAATCTGCACATCATTGTTTTTGAGCTACAATAAAACAAAGGTGGCATTCATTTTGTTCTGCATTAGCATCTCAATATGAATATTGGAGTGCACATTTGCATTATTTTTATCACTAATGCAAACTGGTATTTATGACCTTTATATTTTTCTTCTCCTTGACCTCAGTATAAGTGGAGTTTTTCTCAACCAGTTGAGAAATGTTACTTTATATTCTACTCAAATTTGTGGGTTTTGGAAAAATAATATGTATTACTCCTGATTGGTAATAATAATGTAACATAGCATCATATCCCAATGACTGCTTTTTGAGATTTTTGTATCTTAAAAACATAATTTCAGTTTGGACAGAATTTTCCAGAAAGCTTAAAACATGCAAATTTAATGTAAAAGGAGTCAGAGGATAAAATACACATAAAGCTGTTAATTTTATACAGTCTTGCAGGGTTACCTTGTATTTATTGGGAAGGTTATTAACACAGGTATTGGTGCTAAGAATAACTCTTAAGAAACAAACGTATTTCATTTTATGGGATGTCTTAGAGTTCCATCTTTTGTAGCTTTCATGTAACAATTGCTTACATCTTGCCTTCCTCAATCCTATATCAACTCTTCCAGTACTCTTTCTACAAGTATTCCATAAATTATTCACCTAGGCTGTACGATAAAAAGTGTGTCATTCTTGGAAGATGAAACACATATGACAATTCAGACATCTGCACCTCTCACTTATCCTGGAGCAGCTATACTATTTGCTGAGCACAAATAATTGCTTATCACTCAGACATGCCACAGTACCTGTATCACCATATTTGATACCAAAAAAAACCTGTTTGCTTCTGATATGAAATTAATCAGTAGGAACTTGTTCTAATAAAAATCTACTGTACTCAAGTTGAGAACTGCTTTGCAGTAGGGGCAAAGGGATTCCTTGGATCAGATCTTTCAGTCAGATCAAACAGAAAATGAGCCTTCCTATACTATGGTTAGATTATGAAAATCAGTGAAACCCGGAAACAAACAACCACAGACACTAGTAAGTGAAATAACAGCCAAGAGATGAATTTGGGTGACTATCCAAGGCATATATAACTGCAATCCACCAAAAGATATCCTGTGGAATAGAGGCAAAGAAGCAGAAAGGAAGAGAAATCAGGTTGAAGATTGCCTTTCTCCACTAGTCTGGCATAGCTTTCTTTGTTGTACCTGAGAATGGTCGCTCCAAACCAAATTTTGGTAGGAGGAGGTGGTTTTGAGAGGGGAGAGCACTTCCCGTGAGTTGAAGGGGTCCAAGGCCTGCACCACCTTGTTCATGGGCCCACTGTAGGTCCTCACTCGCTCATACACTACATTTTTTTCTGGAGGCTGCTGGGCTTGGCTTGACTGATGGTAGCAGTGGTAATGCTGGGGCTGGCACTGCAGCACCTCTGGGAGCTGCTGGGTTCCACAGCTGCTGCTGCTCGTCTCACTCCAATAGCTCGAGCTCATCTTCTTCCAGTGGTCAGCAAGGGACCTCCCAGATGTTCTACCTAAGGAACAAACAGAGAAATATAATGGAAAAAAAAGACAGGCAAGCAGGCAGTCAGGCAGGCAGACAGACACACGACACACGTGTGGAAACCGCTTATCAAAACCTCTGCCAATAGTGGTGCCGGGAAGAGAAGAAAGCTACCTGAGCAGCAGCAAGAGCAGGTCTGGCAGCTACAGAGGAAGCAGCAAAATATTTGAGCTCAAATGGAAAATGGAGCCACCCTGTGACATTGCTCCAGGAAATGGTACTGACACGCCCTTAGGGGCGGATTCACTTAGCAGGTTTACATGCCAGGAGAGGCCCTGCCTTGCCACGGAGATAGCTACAAGGCTGCCCAGCAGGTAAAGGAGTCTGTGAAGAGCAGAAATGTAGAATGTCAGGGATGAAGCCAGAGTTTCCAAGCACATGGGCTTAAAAATTCACAAAGACATGAAAATGCAAAAAACTTGCTAGAGAAAAAAAGTCACACATGTTATATGAAAGTGTCTTTTTATGGTTCTTAAGTTTAGCAAAGGTAGTTACCAGCATAAGTATTATTATTCCAGATTCCCAGACTAAAATAATGAGTATTAGTCTAGGAATACACCAATTTTCACAGATAAATTTGCATTCTTTGCAAAACCCATCTGATAATTGCAGTTAAGGAAGATTACTAAGGGGTCTCTTTCTAGTGACTCTGTCTAATATATGGACTTGTTTATCTTACTCAAAGCCTCGTATTCTTTTCTATCATTTGTTGAAGGAAATTTGTCTAAATGATTGAATTGCTGTATAGAAAGGTGGATGGTCAAGAAAAACCTAAAGATTCCACAAATGCTTTGCATTTTGGCATTCACATTTGTTGTTTTTCATTTATGCAAGGGAATTTCTCCTGCCCTTATATGTGCCCTAGGAAACACTGAGTTTGATTGACTTTTTAATATCTAGTTATTAAGGGAGCTGCAAGTCCTGAAAGATGCCTTAACTGACATAATGAGATTTAAATGTGTTTACAACTTACATTTATTACTACTTGAAATTTTGATCATAATGCCTACTTACCCTCAGATTTTGCTATGCAATATACTTCAGCACCACTTAAATCCAGAATACTCTCATTCAAAGTGACTTTAGTAAAAAGTATCTTCCTAATGTGTATATGTGCAATAGGACCTAGTATACTACCACCATTCTAGAGAGGAAGAGAATGTTATCCAGGGGGCTAGCAGCATTTTTTTTCTGCCCAGTGAACAAAGTGTTATGATTTACTATTCACTCTGTGTCAGGTACTGTTCAAGGGGTTTTATGTGGATTATAATTATTTCATCATTGAAGTGACTTTATGAGGTTTATAGGTGAGAAACTGAGGCACAGACATGGAGAGTTTGAAAAACTTTCCAAAGTTAAATAACCTGTAAATGGTGGGCCTGGCATTTTAACATATGGAGATTCATATTAGAGTCTAAGCTCTTATCTGGTATATTATACAGCTAGATAAATTCTCAAATTGTTCCATTTTACAGCTACATAAATTCTCATATTGTTCTGTATCCTGCCATCTAATAAATCTTCTAGATGTCAACATCAAAAAACACTTCAGAAATGCTAGCCATGAGAGACTTTAAAGGAATCTTTAGATTTTCTTTTATGGCTGAGGAGTGTGCAAAAAGCTGAAAATTACCCTTAAAAACTTTTAAGTTAGTTATTACATATTTACATTTATATTTGTGTGTTGAGTGCAGACCTGTCAAATCTGATCCTTGCTCATTTTAATGATATTCCTCAAGAATCAATTAAAATTTTATTAGAAATATGTGACATGTTAAACAGCCTGGTAAAATATCAGATCAATAACTTACTAATATCATTAGCAGTATCACTTTGAATAAACTTTATGTGTGAACAGAGAATAGGGGTTAAGTGGGATCATCCAGTCAGCTTTGATTCATGATAAAAATATAAATTAAACACACACACACACACACACAAACACACATTCATGTGAGCACACAGAATACTGTAAATATCTGCTGCAGCCAAGAAGTGACCTATTAAATAAAGCAAGAGATTGAGATGAAGAAAAAAATTTCCTTTATCCATAAACTGGTGACCATACCTGCCCTTCACATATCTTGGATATATAGTGTTTTGAGCCAACTTCCTTGATACAGTTTGGCTACAATTTGTGTGTAAAGCTGATACCTTCACCCAATATCTGAGCCTCATTCATCACTGTTCTCCATCTCTGGGTATGAGGGACAGAGAGCTTGAAGCTTAGGCATAGTATATTAGAAATGAGATTAAGCACTATCTGGCACGCAAATCACATCTAACTATGAAGCAGGTGTTGACCACAATTGTTCATTTCGGAAAGGCTTATTAATCATTGTCACCAAAATTTCTACTTCTCTGACAACTCACTTGTGCATCACATGATCGGTTTCTCTAATTGGTTTTTCTCCTTTATGAGGATGATGTTCATACTAACACATTTTTGATTAAGAAATAAATATAAATATGTCTTTATGGTAGTAATAACACTTGCCCTATTTTACACTTGAAAATCCAAGGGATTGACATTCTGTATTCTGCATCCTTCATGATTATACCACCCTTCTAACATTAGTGAATGGAGTAGTAAGAGTTGATTCCTTATTCTTAACTCCAGATTTTTTCAGGTAATCTTTAATTAAATTTCCAACAGTTCTTTTGTTTCACACAGTAATGGAGATATTTTATGCTTACCACTGAAAAAGCCTCATTTACAATGACAGATTTGGGGGACACAATTGGTAACCCTTTACAAGTTAATTCAGTTCTAACAGACTTAAGAAGATCTTTATTGCTTTTGATTACAAAAATAATTCATTTTTAAAATTTCAAATGAGTAAATACATGAACAAAGTAGAAAATTAAACTCATCATACTGATAATAGGAGTAAGGGATAGAGCAAGGAACAGAAATGTCTGCTGCACACTTTAATGGTAATTTTTAAAAAAACAATGATTTACATTTTGACTGAGTTGTCTTGAAGGTCATCCGAAAAAGTCCTGATTTGACCTACTGAGGTTGTTGGAAAAACACAGTTGCTTCTATACTCTCACAATACAGAACACTTCTGTGACCCCAGATGTGTGAGGGTTATTTCCCTACCCAACTAGTAAGTGATCAGTTCTACAGTGGACACCAGCTGTGTGTCCTCTAATTCAATCCTGACACTATCTACTTGGAGATAGCATTAAAACTCACAGGTTGAGGACTTTCAGTCCCACAAGACTGTCCCCATTCAGACACCAGTCGCAAGCCCCAGATCATTGTACCTGTGCTCCTGACCAACCAGCTATCAATCAGAGTTCATATGACCCCCCTCCTTGGATTTAATTAATTTGCCAGAGCGCTCACAGAACTCAGGGAAATACATACTTACATTTACTGGTTTATCATAAAGGATATTATAAACGATTCAAATGAACACCAAATGGAACAGATGCATAGGGCAAGGCACAGAGCCTCCATGTCCTCTCGTTATGCTCCATTCTCTAAGAACCTCCACATGTTCAGCCATCAGGAAGCTCTCTTTGAATCTAGTTATTTTGGAGTTTACATAAGCTTCATTATGTAGGCATGATTGATTAAATCATTAGTCATAGGCTATCAATTTCAACTTCTCTCCCCTAAAGAAAGGTGGGGCTTAAAGTCCCAACCCTCTAATCCTGCCTTGGTCTTTCCAGTGACCAGCTCCCCTCCTGAAGCTACCTAGGGGATGCCAACCCTCAGTCAATTCATTTGCATATGAAAATATATTTATCACTTTAGAAATTTCAAATATTTTAAGCGTTGTATGCCAGAAAACAGGGAAGAAGACCAAATATCTATTTCACAATATCACACCTACTTCATAAAATTGTTATTAGAATCAAATGTGAAAGTGTTTGCTGATTTTAATATAGTACCCAGGCATATGATTTTAAAATATGTTATTCACAGATAATGTGTTATAATTTTTGTCAAATAGTAGGCTTTGAAAAGAAAATATGAATGCCAGAGGAGGCTATAGGCCTGGTTTATAAAAAGCTTAGCTACCTGAAACTGTTAAGGTAAAACAAATAGGTAATTAATTTATCAAAAATGATATATATATATATATAACTATCTTAAACATTAAATCATAAAGGTAATTATAAACTTATCATCAAATATATTTCATCAGCATCAGTAGTTTTCATGTGTATAACTAATCCTGCACTCCACCTTCTATTTTATGGGGATGATGCTCAAGTCTATCTCTAGCCCAGCCTCACCCCCGGGGCTAATGATACAATGGCAAAAGATAGTTAAAGCAAAGTTACTCAAGTCTTTTTACTTCTGCGTTCTCTATGATCAAGGAGAAGTATGTACACACTGGAAAGGATCAATAACCATTGGTCCATTCAGAGGAAACTGAAGCCCCAAAGTAGATGAGATGACTGTATGAAATCACTTACGTTTTACTAAATGAGTCCAATTCATTTGATTCTGCAGAACTACATTCCAGCCTTCTGACAAAGTTGAGCTTGTTTAACTGCTGTTGAGAAACTTTAGACTGGGAAGTGTTTCAGATTATAATATATGAAAAAACATCTGTCTTGATTTGGAAAAAAATGAATGGCAGAGTTTACAAAGTGAGTATGTCTGACATCAGTGCAAGTCAAAATTCTATATCAGACTATAAAGTGTATGATGATACATATGCCAAGAATAGAGATAGGTGATCCCCGAAAAACTTTTGGTATCTCTGCTTCATGGTCTCTGAATATCTACTCTTAAAGTCAATTTTACCAGTGGCACAGTTTTGTTCAGAACTAACTGATCCCAGTGTTCCAAAAACCATAGTAGATAAAATTATATTTTGATTCTAGACAAAATAAATAAATCCTCAGTGTGATTTGAATGAAGTGGAACCAAGCCTCTATGATCCTGGAAAATCCCCAGGGATGACTGACCTCTCCTGTAAAAAAAGATTAATTTAAAGCAGCATTTCTCAAAGCTTGTCCTGAATAACACTAGTTCTACAGGGTCCTATACCTGGGAAAAAATGTTTGTGATCAAATGAGTTTAAGAAATATTTGGAAATACTTGGTTAAATATAATTTGTGAATAGTTTTATTGCTATAATACTTCTATCCTTTCCTAAGCTGATGTGCACCATGATCTTCTAAATGGATCAATCGTATGCAGTGTTTTTCAAGTTTTGTTGGTGATAAAATATATTTTGTGTGTCATATTTTGTGTTTTTCTGATTTTTTTTTCTTTTTTATGATTTTTTTCTTCTGCATGCTTTTGGCTAGACTCATATAGTAAGAATTCATATCTAGTTTGTAATTCTACTTATATAATAAAAACATACCAAAGACCATTTGATCAGCCACATTACTATACTAGTGATACTCAAGTGAGATCCATGAACCTCATTGGGAAAATTTTTAGAATTGCAAATTCTCAGGCCCCACCCCAGACCTACTGTGTAAGAAATCCTGGGGGTGAGGACCAAGGATCTGTTTTAAAAAGCTCTCCTGGTGATTCTGATGTACACTAAGGTTTGGATATCCCTGAACTATACCAATATATTGGAGGCAGGCTTCAACAAAAGAGGACGATGGTAGTGGCACGAAGATGAGACTTCCTATTAGGGAAGAAATTGTAAGCAGCTCAAGAATAGGTGACTAGAAGTCTGCATGCAAGTAGAAGTGAGCTATGACTCTGGATAAGAGTCAACACGTTCTACATATATGGAGAAGTTAAAATGGGCCTGAACTATAGTGTAGTACATTAATTATAGCTACATAAGGTATTCTGGCAATAAAAATAAAAGAGGATAATATTAGAGTATACCAGAAAGCTGCACACTATAGCGTTAATTAATGTAGTTTTGCGGTCAGATAGGCCGGGATTTACATTCTGGTTCTACCATGAACTAGCTCTATGGCCTAACAAACTATGTTACTTTCCTGACCTTCTGTTGCTTTTCAATGAAATGGACGATAGCCCCTAACAAAGAATTTGGTGTGTCCATTAGATAAAATGCATGTGAAGTGTTTAGCATGGTGTGTGGTACCTAGTAGCTGAACAACAAATGGAAATTCTTAACATTATGCTCTAGATCTGACTTGAAGGAAAGGAAGAAAGGGCTTGCCATGACTTTGCAGATAGAAATATGTCTGTAGCAGAACATATCACGTAAGAAGGCCTTACTTGTGAAAAGGGAAGACAAACGGAGGTAGGGAAATGACCAACGGCATAGTCACAGAAAAGGCTCAATCAATTTACCAAAAAGGAAAAAGTAGAATGAAGCTTGAGTGAAAAGCAAAGGCAGTCATTTATAATTTAAAATGCTTGGCTATGATGGAAGACTTTAGTTGGAGGTAAAGTCCTGTGATATCTCTTCTAGGTGTCTGTTTTGTAATGTACAAAAATTGTAAAGAGTAACTTAAATGTTAATTCATTGATTTAGAATATATGTACAAAAGTACTCTTAGCAAGCAAGAAGAAAGGAAGTAATAAAAATAAGAGCTGAAATAATTGAGATTGAGAACAGAAAAGTGGTAGAGAAAATAAATAAAACCAAAAGATGGTTCTTTTAAAAAAAATTAGTAAAATTGATAATCCTCTGACAAGATAGACCAAAAAAGAGAGAAAATACATATAACGAAATCATGAATGAAAGAAGGACTCCACAGACATTAAAATAATAATGGAGTATCTTATAAACAATTTTATGCACACACATCCTACAACTTAGATGAAAAGGACAAATTCCATTTTCATTAGGAAATGAACCAATTCATAGTGAGAAATAGACGAACTACCACAACTCACCCAAGAAGAAATAGATAAACTTAATAACCGTATATAAATAGAAGAGATTGAATTCACAGTTATAAACTTTCCAAGAAGAAAAATGCTGAATTCCACCAAATATTTAAGGAAAAACAATGCATTTTCTTTTTAAAATGTGTATTGAAGAGGTACAGGTGCAGTTTTGTTACATGCACAGTGGCGAAATCTGGGCTTTTAGTGTAACCATCACCCAAATAATGTACATTGTATCCATTAAGTAATTTCTCATCCCTTACCTCCCTCCTACTCTCCCACCCTTCCAAGTCTCCAATATCTATGTCCATGTATATACATTATTTAGTTCCATTTATAAGTGGAAAACATGGGGCATTTGACTTTCTGTTTCTTTGTTGTTCACTACAGAACTCTACATCCAAAAACAATCGAATATAAATTCTTCTCATTGCCACATAGTACACACTCTAAAACTGATCACATAATCCGAAGTAAAACACTCCTCAGTAAATGCAAATTAACTGAAATCATAACAAACAATCTCTTGAACCACTGTACAATCAAATTAGAAATCAAGACTAAGAAATTCACTCAAAACCTTACAATTACATGGAACTTGAATAATCTTCTTCTGAATTACTTTTGGGTAAATAATGAAATTAAGGTGGAAATCAAGGAGATATTTGAAACTAATGAGAGGAAGCAGACAACATGGCAGAATTTCTAGGACACATCTAAGGCAGTGATAAGTGGAAAATTTATAGCCCTAAATGCACACATCAAAATGTAGAAAGATCTCGAGTTAACAACCAAACATCACAACTAAAAGTGCTAGAGAACCAAGGCCAAACAAATCCCAATGCTAGCAGAAGACAAGAAATAACCAAAACCAGAGTTGAACTGAAGGAGATTGAGAAACAAAAAAGCATTAAAAAGATCAACGAATCCAGGAGCTGGGTTTTTTTTTTAAATTAATAAAATAGATCGCTAGCTAGACTAATGAAGAAAAGAAAGAAGATTCAAATAAACACAATCAGAAATGACAAGGGAGATATTACCGCAGATGCCACAGAATAAAAATAACCATCAGAGAATATTATAAACAACAACCACTATGCACATAAACTAGAAAATCTAGAAGAAATGGATTATTTCCTGGACACATTTACCTTCCCAAGATTAAAGCAGGAAGAAATTGAATCCCTGAACAGACCAATAAAGAACTTTGAAATTGAGTTAGTAATAAATAGACTACAACCAAAAAACGCCCATGACCAGATGGATTCACAGCTGATTTCTACCAGATGTATAAAGAAGAGCTGGTAATATTCCAGCTGAAACTATATCAAAAATAGTTCCAACTCATTCTATGAGGCCAACATCATCCTCATACCAAAACCTGGCAGAGACACAACAAGGAAAGAAAACTTCAGGCCAATATCCTAGGTGAACATTGATGCAAAAATATTCAACACAATACTGGCAAACCAAAAACAGCGGCACATCAAAAACCTTATTCATCATAACCAAATAGGATTTATCCCTGGAATACAAGTTTGGTTCAACATAAGCAAATCAATAAATGGGATTCATCAGATAAACAGAACTGAAGACAAAAACCACATGATTATCTCAAGAGCTGCAGAAAAGGCTTTTGATAGAATTCAACACTTTTTCATGTTGAAAACTCTTAATAAATTAGGTATTGAAGGAACATACTTGAAAATAATAAGAGCTGTCTATGACAAGCCCACAGCCAGAATTATGCAGAATGGGCAAGAGCTGAAAGCATTTTCTTTGAAAACAGGCATAAGACAAGGATGCCCTGTCTCACCACTCCTATTCAACACAGTTTGGGAAGTTCTGGACAGGGCAATCAGGCAAGAGAAAGAAATAAAGAGCATTCAAATACTACAGGGGAAGTCAAACCATCTTTGTTTGGGGATAGCATAACCTTACATCTAGAAAACCTCATAGTCTCAGCCCCAAAGTTCCTTAAGCTGATAAACAACTTCAGCAAAGTCTCAGGATACAAAATCAATGTGCAAAAATCACTAACATTTCTATACACCAACAACAGTCAAGTCAAGAGCCAAATCAGGAACACAATCCTATTCATAATTGCCACACACACACACACAAAACCCTAGGGATACAGCTAACCAGGGAGGTGAAAAATCTCTACAAGTAGATCTACAAAACACTGCTCAAAGAAGTCAGAGATGACATGAAAAAATGGAAAAACATTCCATACTCATGGATAGGAAGAATCAATATTGTTAAAATGGCCATACTGCCGAAAGCAATTTATAGATTCAATGCTATTCCCATTAAACTAACATTGACATTCTTCACAGAACTAAAAAAAAAAACTATTTTAACATTCATATGAAACCAAAAATGAGCTGAATAGCCAAAGAAATCATAAGCAAAAAGAACAAAGCTTGGAGGCATCACACTACTAGACTTCAGCCTATACTACAAGGCTACACTAACCAAAACAGCATGGTACTGGTACAACAACAGACACAAAGACTAATGGAACAGAACAGAGAGCCCAGAAATAAGGCCGCACACCTATAACTATCTGATCTTTGACCAAGTTTTCAAAAGCAATCAATGGGGAAAGGACTTCCTATTCAATAAATGGTGCTGGGATAACTGGCTAGCCATATGCATAAGATTGAAACTGGCGCACTCCTTATGCTATATGCAAAAATCAACTCAAGATGGATTAAAGACTTATATGTAAAACACAAAAGTATAAAAATCTTTGGAGACAACCTAGGCCATACCATTGTGAACACAGGAATAGGCAAAAATTTAACGAGGAAGATGCCAAACGCAATTGCAACAAAAACAAAAATTTGGCAAATGGGATCTAATTAAGCTAAAGAGCTTCTGCACAGCAAGGGAAACTATCAACAGAGTGAACAGGCAACCTACAGAATGGGAGAAAATTTTTTCAAACTATGCATTCAACAAAAATCTAATATGCAGCATCTATAAGGAAATTAAACAAATTTCAAAAGAAAAGCCATTAAAAAGTGGGCAAAGAACATGAACAGACCCTTTTCAAAAGAAGACTTACAGGCAGATAAAAAGCATATGAAAAATGCTTGTATTACTGTTCATCAGAGAAATGCAAATCAAAATCATAGTGAGATAACATCTCAGGATGGCTATTATTAACACATTTATGCTTAGCGTTCCATTATTGGAACGCTAAGCATGTGGGAGTTATTTATATCCAACTGCTCAAGTCATCGTCAAGGTCTGACTGCAAAAATTCAAAAAATTGCAACCTCAGGCATAAATGGGTTAAAAGTTAAAAAATAACAGATGCTGGTGAGGTTGTGGAGAAAAAGGAACACTTATAGACTGTTGGTGGGAGTGTAAATTAGTTCAGCCATTGTGGAAGACAGTGTGGCAATTCCTCAAAGACCTAGAGGCAGAAATACCATTCGACTCAGCAATCCCATTACTAAGTATATAGCCAATGGAATATAAATCATTCTATTATAGACACATGTACACATATGTTTATCACAGCACTATTCACAATATCAAAGACACGTAATCAACCTAAATGCCCATCAGTGGTAGACTGAATAAAGAAAACGTGATACACATACACCATGAAATATTATGTAGCCATAAAAAAGAATGAGATCATGTTCTTTGTAGGAACATGGATGGAGCTGGAAGCCATTGTTCTTAGCAAACTAACTCAGGAACAGAAAACCAAATACCAAAATACCACATGTTTTCACTTATAAGTGGCAGCTAAATGACGAGGACACATAGACGGGAACAAAACACACTGGGGTCTATCAGAGGGTGGAGGGTGGGAGGAGGTAGAGGATCAGGAAAAATAACTAATGAGTACTAGGTTTAATATCCTGCTGATGAAATAATCTGTACAACAAACCCCCATGACACTAGTTTACTTACATAACAAACCTGCACATGTACTTAAAATAAAAGTTTTAAACTGATCTTGAACTTAAGTCTTTAAAAAAGTAAGATAGATACACAATTTTTTTAAAAAAATTTAAAACAGCAGATGGATAGTTAAAGAAAATATGCTAAATATTCACAATGGAGTACTATTCAGTCAGAGAAAAGAATGAAATTCTATCATTCACAACAATATGGAAGGAACTGGAGGACTTTATGTTAAGTGAAATAAGCCAGGCACTAAAAAACAAGTATAGTATGCTCTCACTCATATATGGAGGCTAATAAAATTGATCTCACGGAGATAGTGAACAGAATGGTGGTTACCAGAGACTGGGAATGTTAGGGGATCGGAGAATAACAAAGGGTTGGTTAATGGATCCATACATATAGTTAGATAGAAGGAATAAGTTCTAGTGTATGATAGAACAATAAGGTGACTATAGTTAGCAATAATTTATTGTATATTTAAAAATAGCCAGAAGAGATTTGGAAAGTTCCCAACACAAAGACATGATAAATGTTTGAGGTGATACATATCCCAATTACCCAGATTTGATAATTACACATTGTATGCTTGTGTCAAACTATTACATCTTCAGGGAAAGAGAAAAGCAATATAGCAAACTTGTAGAAGAACAAAATAGAGCTCTAAAAAAAAGCAAATGAGATTAAAAGTTTAGTGGATGACTTTAATAGCAGATTGGACACAGCTCAAGAGGGAACTAATAATCTAGGGTATATACAAGAAAATATTGCTCAGAACACATCAGAAACAGACACAAATATGAAAAATATGGACAAAAGATTAAGTAATATGGTGGACAATGTGAGACATTTTAATCAACTTCTACTCTGAGTCCAAGAAGGAGAAGAGAGAATGGAATAGGAGTAATATTAAAAAGATAATGACTTAGCATTCTCCAAACCTGATTTAAGGCATAAATCTACTGCATCAAAACACCTAGTGAATTTCATAGAAAAAAATAAATACTGAGACATAAAGTGAAAGTGAGGAAAACCTAAGAGACAGAACAATTAAAATCACTCAGAGAAAAGACAGAACCACATAAAAGATCAACAGTTAGAATGACAGCTGACTTCTGTACAGCCACATAATAAAAGGAAAATGTCAGATACCTTTTCAATGTGCTCAGAGAAAATAACTGTCAACCTGAAGTTTTATTCCCAGTGAAAATGCCTTTCATGAATGAAAGATACTTGGTTTAATTGCTTACTGATGTGTAACAAATTGCCTCAAAATTTTAGGACTTAAAATACCAATCATTTTATTATCTCTCACAGTTTCTGTAAGATGAACTTGGAGTATTTCTGTGTTGAGATTTCTCATGCAGTTGCAGAGTGGCTGGAACTGGAACAACGAGAGGTGGGAGCAGGTCAGAGCTGGCTCTGCATCTCTCTTCATGAAGTGTCAGGACCTCTACATGGGGTTTTTTCACATAGGCCAGCTTGTGCTTATTTATAGCAAAGAAGTTTCAGGGAAGTCAGACTGCTTCCCTAATGGCTGAGAGCTTCAAGAGCAAGAGTTATAGGGAACAAAATAAAGCTTCACCAAATTTTATCACTTAGCCTCAGAAATCACATAATATCACTTCTACCATATTCCTTAGATCTGTAAATTTAAGATAAAACTGCCTCCTTACATATGTTAAGTTTGGCGTAAAGACTTCTCCATAGAATGAACTATAACCTAACTGGATATGTAAACAGACTATAACCTGCTCTTGTAGCCAATCACATGCAGCCAACTATTAAAACCCTGTTCAAACAAGGCAAATGCCAAGCTATAACCAGTCCAGCTGTTTCTATACCTTATTTCTATTTCTGTATATCACTTTCCTTTTTCTGTTCATAAATATTGTCTGACCATGTGGCAGCCCCAGAGTCACTCTGAACCTATTGCAGTTCTGCGGGCTGCCTGAGTCATAAATTGTTCTTTGCTCCATTAAACTATTAAATTTAATTTGTCTAAAGTTTTTATTTTAATAGGTCACGTAAAAGCCATCCAATGTTAAGGGGGAAGAAAAGTAGACTTTAATCTACGGGAAGAGTGTCAAAATCACACTTTAACAGCAGAACGTGGGATGAGACATATTGTTGCATCCATCTTTGAAAAATACAACCTGTGTAGCCACATTTTCAGACAAAAACAGGTCATTGCCAACTAATAATAAACTATAATCTAAAGGAGGTGATGCCTGATGCAAGGAAAGAAGAGCAAATCAAGTAGGTATTTGATGTTAATTTAAATGAACATTATATAAAGTAATGATAATGTCTAGCAGAGTTAATGAGTAATATATAAATATAATTAAATACACGACAATAGTAATGTATATTTCAGAAGGCAGAAATGAGTTCTCAAATATCTTACTGCCTAGGATAAGGGTAAATGTACCTATTAATTTTAAATTTTGACATGTTGCCTGTGAATGCTGCAATTTCAAGAATAACCACAAAATGAATAGAAACACAGTAGTAGAGTGAAATAAGCTAGTAGAGGGAAAAATGAAGTCATAAAAATAATCTCAATACAAAGAAGGAAATAAAATGAGATAAAACGTAGAATAGTTAGAACATGTAAAAATTATAAAATAAGATGGTGGATTTAACCACAAAATATGGCAGTAATCATATTAAATGCAAATGTATCAAAATGTAGTTAAAAAGACAGCTTTTCTAAAAGAATTTTTTTTTAAATCCAAGAATACGCTGTATACAAAAGAATTTATTAAACATGAGGATAGAGAAAGGTTACAAATACAAATCAGAAGAAAGCTGAAGTAATTATATTAATATAAGACAAAATTGATTTTTAAGATAAAAAGCATTGCTAGAGACCCAGTGATCACTACATGATGATAAAACTTCACAAAGTAGATAGACAATTTTAAATTTATATGCATTTAATACTGTTTAAAATTATATAAAGCAAAAATTGATTAAGGCAAAATGGCATGGTCAAATACAAACTCATATTGCAAGATACTTAAAACATCTCTCTGAATAACAGATATAGGAGGAAGAAATCAGCACAGACATAGATTATTTGAACAACACAATTAATAAACGTGATGTCTTAACCTATTTTGTGTTACTATAAAATACTACATGAGGCCAGGTAGTTTATAAAGAAAAGAGATTTAGCTCACAGTTCTGTGGGCTGTACAAGAAGCATGGTGGAGAAAGTCAAAGGGGAAGTGGGCACCTGCAAGGAGAGGGACAAATGAGGAACATCCTGGTTTTATAACAACGCACTCCAATGGGAACTAAGCTGATTCCACAAGAGTCAATCCAGCCTCCAGTTTCATGAGAAAAAGAACTCACTACTTCTAGAACAGCACCAAGCCACTCATAAGGAATCTGCCCCATAACCCAAACACCTCCCAGTAGGCCTCACATTCTAACACTGTCACAATGATAACCAAATTTTAACTTGAGCTTTGATGGGGACAAACAAATCATATCAAAACCCTAGCACCTGCCTAGTGCACATATTCAGAATACCACACTCCTAAAAGGCAGTAGATACATTATTTTAAGGGACATACATAATTTTAAAAATTTACTGTATATTGGGTCATAAAGAAAATAGCAATTATTTTTAAAAGTTGAAATAATTTAGGCTCTGTCCTGTGGCTAACATATGATTAGAAATCAGTGCAAAAAAGATGAATAAATGTCCACATATACCTGGAAATCAAGAAAAACACTGATAAATAATCTTTGAATCAAAACAATCATATTAGGAAATAAAAAATTTGACCCAAATGATAACAAAATAAGTCTCTTCACAGCACAACTTATGATTTGCACTTAAAATATTACTCAGAGGGATTATTTTTCAAATCAGAAAGATTGAAATAGAATTTCTGTATAGTAAAACACATGTGTTGTGGTGTGTACTTATATGGAACTTGACAAAGGCATTGACTTGTGCATCTGCCACTACAGTTATGATGCTGAAGTGTACCACCACTCCAAAGATTCCCCATGTTGCTCCTTTATAATCACTACTCCTCTCACTTTTAACCACTAAACTGTTTATATCTCTACAGTTTAGTCTCTTCCAAAATGTCATATGCATAAAATGACACATTATGTAGCTTTTTGAGTTTTGAGTCTGGCTTCTTTTATTTAGTAAAGTTCATTTAAAGTTTATTTATGTTGTTACATATGAATATAAATAAATTCAATCCTTTTCACTGCTGAGTAGGATTCCACTTTACAGTTGAAGGGCATCTGGGCCATTTCCAAATTTTGGCAATTATGACTTAAGCTACAATAAATATTTGAATGCAGGCTTTTGAGTGAACATATGTTTTTATTTCTCCAGTATAAATATCTAGAAGTGTGTTTGATGGGCTGCATGGTAGGTATGTGTTTAATTTTTTTTTTTTTTTTTTTTTGAAATGGAGTCTCGTTCTTGTCGCCTGGGCTGGAGTGCAGTGGCGCCATCTCAGCACACTGCAACCTCCGTCTCCTGGGTTCAAGCGATTCTCCTGCCTCAGCCTCCTGAGTAGCTGGGATTGCAGGCACCTGCCACCACACCCGGCTAAGTTTTTGTACTTTTAGTAGAGATGTGATTTCACCATATTGGCCAGGCTGGTCTCTAACTCCTGACATCAGGTGATCTGCCCCACTCGGCTTCCCAAAGTGCTGGGATTACAGGCGTGAGCCACCGCGCCCGGCTGTGTTTAACTTTTTAAAACGCTGCCAAATTGTTTTCCAAAGTCACTATACTCACAGTTAGCATTTCCACTGGCAATAATAGAGAGTTCCAGTTGCTCCTCTGCTGGCCAGCATTTGGTAGTGTCAGGTTTTTATTGCTATTTATTTACACCCTAATAGGTGTTTAATGGTATCTCATTGTGGCTTTAATTTGAATTTCCCTAAAGAATCATGATGCTGAGCATCTTTCATATGCTTACTTTCCATCCATTTTTCTTCTTTGGACAACTATCTGTTGAAATCCTTTTTTTTTTCTTTTTTTAATTGTTGAGGCTTGAGGATTTTTTAAAAATGTTTTCTGGGTATGTCTTTTATGAGATGTACATTTTGCAAATATTTCCCCCCATCATTGGCTTGTATTTTCACTTTCTTAACAATGACTTTTGACCGGGCATGGTGGCTTACGTCTGTAATCCCAGCACTTTGGGAGGCTGAGGTGGGTGGATCACCTGAGGTCAGGGGTTTGAGATCAGCTTGGCCAACATGGTGAAACCCTGTCTCTACTAAAAATACAAAAATTAGCTGGGCGTGGTGGCAGCAACCTGTAATCCCAGCTACTCGGGAGGCTGAGGCAGGAGAATCGCTTGAACCCGGGAGGCGGAGGTTTCAGTGAGCTGAGATCGCGCCATTGCACTCCAGCCTGGGAAACAAGAGCGAGACTTCATCTCAAAAAAAAAAAAAAAAAACAACAAAAACAAACAAACAAACAAAAAAATGACTTTCAAAGTACAGAAGATTTTAATTTTAACAAAGACCAATTTATTCTTATTTTCTTTTTTATATATTGTGCTTTTGGTGTCATATATGTATATATAATATTTGTCTAACCCAATGTTGTAAGAATTTTATATTTTCTTCTAATTAATTTTGTAGTTTTTAGTTCTATGTGTAGGTCCATAATCAATGATGAATTCATTTACTGTAACTTGTAAGAGGTCCATGTCAAGATTCTTTTTTTTTCTTTTTTCTTTTTTTTGCACGTGGAAGTACAGTTGCCCTAGAATATTTGAAGAAAATTCCATTCTTCTCCGTTTAATTGCTTTTTCACCACTTTTGAATTCCAATTGACTATGTATGTGTGTGCCTATTTCTGGGTTCTCAATTCCATTTTATTTTTCTGTATCCAATAGATATAGAACACGCTTTTCCAACAGAACATTGTCTTGATTACTATAGCTTTATAGTAAATGTTCAAATCAGATAGTCTGAAGTAGAGATAAATTAACTTTAAACATAAATGATAGGAAAGAAGAATGGCTGAAAGTCAATGACTGCCTTTCTAGCTGTCAGAAAAAGAACAGCATTAAAAACAAAGAAAGGTAATAAAGAATAAAAATTACTGAAATAGAAAACAAAGTTCAGTAGAGAAGATCAACAATGCCAAAATTGAAAAGAGTAGAGCAAATAGTAACCAAGTAAAACAGTGTGAAGCCACAGAAGTATCATATCACAAAAGAAAAACCCAAAATGAATATGTATATATTGCATCAATATGAAGATAATTCATGTTAAAAATAATTATTTTACATTATAAATATTTTAATAAGAGATATGAACTTGAAGAATAAATAACAAGTTTTTAATACATTAAACTTTTTTATATTTATATTTTTAATTTTTGTGGGTAGAAGTAAGTGTATATATTTATGGGGTATATGAGATGTTTTTGATACAGGCATGCAAAGGGAAATAAGCACATCATGAAGAATGAGGTATCCATACCCTCAAGCATTTATTTTTTGAGTTGCAAACAATCCAATTACACTCTTTTAGTTATTTTAAAATGTGCAATTAAGTTATTATTGCCAGGCACGGTGGCTCACACCTGTAATCCCAGCACTTTAGGAGGCAAAGGCAGGTGAATCACTTGATTTCAAGAGCTTGAGACCAGCCTGGCCAGCATGGTGAAACCCAATCTCTACCAAAAAGTACAAAAATTAGCCAGGTTGAGGCAGGAGAATTGCTTAAACTCAGGAGGCAGAGGTTGCAGTGAGCCAAGATTGCACCACTGCACTCTAGCCTGGGTGACAGAGTAAGAACTTGTTTCAGAAAAAAAAAAAGTTATTATTGACTATAGTCACCCTGGTGTGCTGCCAAACACAGCATTCTTTCTACTTGTTTTTGTAAACATTAACCATCCCCACCTCTCCTCTACCCCCTCCTATAACTATATGCCATTTTAACTGGGGTGAGATGATATCTCATTGTAGTTGTGATTTACCTTTCTCTGATAATCAGTGATGTTGAGCACATATGCCTGTTTGCAATTTTTATGCCTTCTTTTGAGAAATGTCTACTCAGAATGTTTGGCCCATTTTTTGATGGGATTATTACATTTTTTCCTATAGAGTTGTTTGAGTTCCTTATATATTCTTATTATTAATTCCTTGTCAGATGGATAGTTTCAAAATGTTTTCTTCCATTCTCTGGGTTGTTTCTTCACTTTGTTGATTGTACCCTTTGCTGTGCAGAAGCTTTTTAACTTGATATGATCCCATTTGTCCATTTTTGCTTTGGTTGCCTGTGCTTGTGGGGTATTGCCTAAGACATTTTTGCCCAGACCAATGTCCTGGAGACATTTTCCGATGTTTTCTTATAGTAGTTTCATAGTTTGAGGTTTAGACTTAACTCTTTAATCAATTTTGATTGGATTTTTTTATATGGTGAGAGATAGTGGTCTAGTTTATTTCTTGCCTGTGGATATTCCGTTTTCCCAGCACTGTTTATTCAAGAGACTGTCTTTTCCCCAGTGTATGTTCTTGGCAGCTTTGTTGAAAGTAAGTTCACTGTGGGTGTGTGGACTTGTTTCTTGCTGCTCTATTCAGCTCCTTTGGTCTATGTGCCTGTTTTTATGCCAGTATCATGTTGTTTTGGTTATTAAAGCTCTGTAATATAATTTTACATTAGGTAACGTGATTCCTCCAGTTTTGTTCTTTTTGCTTAGGATAGCTTAGGCTATCCTGGGTCTTTCATGGTTCCATATAAATTTTAGGATTCTTTGTCTATTTCTGTGAAGAATGTCATTGGTATTTTGACAAAAATTGCATTGAATCTGAAGATTGCTTTGGGTAGTATGGACATTTTAACAATATTGATTCTTACAATTCATCAACATAGAATTTTTTAAATTTATTGGTGTTCTCGATTTCTTTCACCAGTGTTGCATAGTTTTTATTATAAAGATTTTTCACTTATTTTGTTAAGTCGAATCCCACTTATAAATTCACTTATTTAGTTAAGTCGAATAAGTATTTAATTTTAGGTGTGGGTATTGTAAATGGAATTACTTTTTAAATTTCTTTTTCAGCTTGCTCACAGTTGGCATGTAGAAATGCAACTGAATTTTGCCAGGCACATTGGCTCCCACCTGTAATCTCAGCACTTTTGGAGGCTGAGGTGGGCGGATCACTTGAGGCCAGGAGTCCGAGACCAGCCTGGCCAACATGGTGAAACCCCGTCTCTACCCAAAATACAAAAATTAGCCAGACTTGGTGGCACACACCTGTAATCCCAGCTACTAGGGTGGCTGAGGTAGGAGAATCGCTTGAACTGAGGAGGCGGAGGTTGCAGTGAGCTGAGATAGCGCCACGGCACTCCATCCTGGGTGACAGAGTGAGACTCCGTCTCAAAAAAAAAAAAAAAAAAAAAAAGAAAAAGAAATGCAACTGAATTTTATATGTTGGTTTTCTATTCTACAACTTTACTGAATTTGTTTACCCATTCTAATAGTTTTCTTGTGAAGTCTTAATGTTTTTCCAAATATAAGATCATAGCATCTGCAACAAGGATAATTTGACTTCTTCCTTCCCAATCTGGATGTCCATTATATCTTTTTCTTGTCTGATTGCCCTAGCTAGGACCTCCAGTACTATGTTGAATAACAGTAGTGACAGTGGGCATTCTTATCTTGTTTCCAATCTCAGAGGAAAGGCTTTCAGTTATTTTCCATTCAGTATGATACTAGCTGTTGGTCTGTCACATATGGCTTTTGTTATGTTGAGGTAGGTTCCTTCTATTCTTGGTTTTTTAAGGGTTTTCATCTTAAGGGGATGTTGAATTTATCAAATACATTTTCAGCATCAATTGAAATGATCATATGATTTTTATCTTTCATTCTGTTGATATGATGTATCACATTGATTGAATGCATATGTTGAACCATCCTGACATCCCTGGTATAAATCCCACTTGGTCAAGATGAATTATCTTTGTAATGTATTGTTGAATTCTGTTTGCTAGTATTTTGTTGAAAAATTTTACATCACTATTCATCAGAGCTATTGGTCTGTGGTTTTCTTTTCTTTCTTTCTTTTTTTTTATGTGCCTTTGTCTGGTTTTTAGTATCAGGGTAATACTGGCCTCATAGAATGTGTTTGAAAATATTTCTTCCTTCTCTGTTTTTTGGAATAGTTTGAGTAGGATTGACATTAGTTCTTTAAATGCTTAGTAGAATTCAGCAGTGAAGTCTTCAGGTCCTGGGCTTTCCTTTACTGGGGCGGGGGGGGGGAGATTTTTTATTACAGTGTTGATATCATTACTTGTTATTGGTCTGTTCAGGTTTCGGACTTCTTCCTGATTCAATCTTGGTAGCTTGCAGTGTGAAGGAATTTGCTCATTTCTTCCAGATTTTCCAATTTATCGGCATACAGTTGCTTATAGTAGCCACTAATGATCCTTTGAAATTCTGCAGTATCTGCTGCAATGTCTCTTTTTTCATTTCTGGTTTTATTTATTTGTAACTTTTCTGATTTTTTCTTAGTGTGGCCAAAGGTTTGTCTATTTTATCTTTTCAAAAACCAAACTTTTTGTTTCATTGATTATTTTGTATTATTTTTCTTTGTTTTAATTTATCTTATTTCTGCTCTGATGCTTATTATTTCTTTTCTTCTACTAATTTTGGCTTTGATTTTCCCTTGCTCTTCTAGTTCCTTAAGTTGCATCATTAGATTATTTATTTGAAGTTTTTCCTCTTTATGATATAGACACTTATAGCTAATAACCTTCTCTCTTCATACTGCTTTGGCTGTACCCAATGGGTTATAATATGTTGTGCTTTCATTATCATTTGTGTCAAGAAATGTTTCAATTTCCTTCTGAATTTCTTCACTGACACACCAGTCATTCAAGAGTATGTTGTTTAATTTGCATGTGTTTGTATAGTTTCAAAATTTCCTCTTGTTATTGACTTATAGTTTTATTCCATTGTGGCCAGAGAAGATGCTTGATATCATTTTAATATTTTTGAATGCTTTAATAGTTGTTTTGTGGCCTAACATATGATCTATCCTTGAGAATAATTCATGTGCTGAGGAAAATAATGTGCATTCTGCAGCTGTTTGATAAAATGTTCTGTAATTATCTGTTAGAGCCATTTGGTCTCCCATGCAGATTAAGCCTGATGTTTCTTTGATCATTTTCTGTCTGAAAGATCTGTCTGGAAGACCTGCTCAGTGCTGAAAGCGGGTGTTGAAGTCTCCAGCTATTATTGTGTTGGGGCCTTTCTCTCTCTTTAGTTCTATGTCTTTTTTATATCTGGGTGTTACGGCATTGGGTGCATATATATTTAAAATTGTTATAGCCTCTTGATGAATTGACCCCTTTATCATTATTGAGTGAACTTATAGAGTCTCTTGTAGTTTTTGTCTTGAAATCTACTTGTCTGATATAAGTATAGTGACTTCTGCTCTTTCATGATTTCTGTTGGCTTGAAATATCTTTTTTTCATCCCTTAATTTTCAGTCTATGGGTGTCTTTATAGGTGAAGTGTGTTTCTTACATGCAACAGATAAATGGGTCCTGTCCTTTCATGCATTCAGCCAGTTTATATCTTGATTGGAGAGTTTATTCAATTTACATTAAATGTTGTTGATAAGTCAGCACTTACTCCTGTCATTTTGCTATTTGTTTTCTAGTTGTTTTGTGGTCTTCTCTTCCTTATTTCTTTTCTTCCTGTTTTCCTCTAGTGAAGGTGATTTTCTCTGGTGTATGATTTAGTTTCTTGCTTTTATTTTTTATGTAGCATGTTTTTTGGTTTAAGGTTACCATCAGGCTTGCAAATACTATGTTATATCCTGTTATTTTAACTGGTAAATAACTTAACACTGTTTGCATAAACAAACAAACAAAAAGAAAACTAATGTAAATTCTACACCTTAACTTCATCCCCTTGCTTTTTAACTTTTTGTTGTCTCTATTTCTATCTTATTGTATGGATTATGTCTTGAAAAGTTGTTGTAGTTATTATTTTTCATTGGTTTAATTTTTAGTCTTTCTACTTGGGATAAGAGTAGTTTACACACCACAGACACAGTGCTATAATATTCCGTGTTTTTCTGTGTACTTACTATTACCAGTGAGTTTTTTTTACCTGTAGGCAATTATTTATTGCTCATTAACATCCTTTTCTTTCAGACTGAAGGACTCCACTTAGCATTTCTTCTAGGACAGGTCTGGTGCTAATGAAATCCCTTAGCTTTTGTTTTTCCGGAAAAGTCTTTATTTCTCCATATTTGAAAGATATTTTCACTGGATACACTATCCTAGTGTAAAAGTTTCTTTTTTTCCTTTAGTACTTTAAATATGTCATACCACTCTCTCCAGGCCTATAAAGTTTGCACAGAAAAGTCTGCTGCCTGACATATGGAAGCTCTATTGTATGTTATTTGTTTCTTTTCTCTTACTGCATCTAAGATCCTTTTTCTATCCTTGAAATTTGGGAGTCTGATAATTAAATGCCTTGAGCCTTTTTTGGATTAAATCTCCTTGATGTTCTGTAACCTTCTTGTACTTGGATATTTATATCTTTCTCTAGATTTGGGAAGTTCTCTATTATTATCACTTCGAATAAACTTTCTACCCTTTTCTCTTTCTCTACCTCCTCTTTAAGGTCAATAACCTTAGATTTGCTCTTTTAAGGTTATATTTTTGATCCCGTAGGCATGCTTCATTGTTTTTATTATTTTTGTAGGGAAAACTCAGTTTATTTATTTATTTATATATTTTCATTTTTATACTTGAAGTTCTGGGACACATGTGCAGAACATGTAGGTTTGTTAGATAGGTATGCACATGCCATAGTGGTTTGCTACACCCATCAACCCGTCATCTACATTATGTATTTCTGCTAATGTTATCCCTCCCCTAGCACCCCACCCCCTGACAGGCCCTGGTTTGTGATGTTCCCCTCCCTGTGCCCATGTGTTCTCATTGTTCAACTCCCACTTATGAGTGAGAATATGTGATGTTTGGTTTTCTGTTCCTGTGTTAGTTTGCTGAGAATGATGGTTTCCAGCTTCATCCATGTGCCTGCAAAGGACATGAACTCATCCTTTTTTATGGCTGCATAGTATTCCATGGTGTATATGTGCCATATTTTCTTTATCTAGTCTATCATTGATGGGCATTTGGGTTGGTTCCAAGTCTTTGCTACTGTGAATAGTGCCACAGTAAAGATACGTGTACATATGTCTTTATAGTAGCGTGATTTATAATCATTTGGGCATATACCCACTAATGGGATTGCTGGGTCAAATGGTATTTCTTGTTCTAGATCCTTGAGGAATCGCCACACTGTCTTCCACAATAGTTGAACTAGTTTACACTCCCACCAACAATGTAAAAGCACTCCTATTTCTCCACATTCTCTCTAGCATCTATTGTTTCCTGACTTTTTAATGATCACCATTCTAACTGGCATGAGATGGTATCTCATCGTGGTTTTGATTTGCATTTCTCTGATGATCAGTGATATTGAGCTTTTTGTCATATGCTTGTTGTCCGCATAAATGTCTTTTTTTGAGAAGTGTCTATGCATATCCTTTGCCCACTTTTTCATGGAGTTGTTTGTTTTTTTCTTGTAAATGTGTTTAAGTTCTTTGTAGATTCTGGGTATTAGCCCTTTGTCAGATGGATAGATTGCAAAAATTTTCTCCCATTCTGTAGGATGCCTGTTCATTCTGAAGATACTTTCTTTTGCTGTGCAGAAGCTCTTTAGTTCAATTAGATCCCATTTGTCCATTTTTGCTTTTGTTGCTATTGCTTTTGGTGTTTTCATCATGAAGACTTTCTCCATGCCCATGTCCTGAATGGTATTGCCTAGGTTTTCTTCTAGGGTTTTTATGGTTTTAAGTCTTACGTTTAAGTCTTTAATCCATCTTAAGTTAATTTTTTATAAGATATAAGGAAGGGGTCCAGTTTCAGTTTTCTTCATATGGCTAGCCAGTTTTCCCAACACCATTTATTAAATAGGGAATCCTTTCCCCGTTGCTTGTTTTTGTCAGGTTTGTCAAAGACCAAATGGTTGTAGATGTGTGGTGTTATTTCTGAGGCCTCTGTTCTGTTGCATTGGTCTCATATCTGTTTTGGTAACAGTACCATGCTGTTTTGGTTACTGTAGCCTTGTAGTATTGCTTAAAGTCAGGTAGTGTGATCCCTCCAGCTTTGTTCTTTTTGCTTAGGATTGTCTTGGTTAAATGGCCTCTTTTTTGATTTCATATGAAATTTAAAGTAGTTTTTTTTTTTTTCTGTGAAGAAAGTCAATGGTAGCTTGATGGGGTTAGCACTGAATCTATAAATTACTTGGGACAGTACGACCGTTTTCACAATACTGGTTCTTCCTATTCATGAGCATGGAATGTTTCTCCATTTGTTTGTGTCCTCTCTTATTTCCTTGAGCAGTGGTTTGTAGCACTCCTTGAAGAGGTCTTTCACATCCCTTGTAAGTTGTATTACTAGGTATTTTATTTTCTTTGTAGCAATTGTGAATGGGAGTTTACTCATGATTTGGCTCTCTGTCTATTATTGGTGTATAGAAATGCTTGTGGTTTTTGCACATTGATTTCATATCCTGAGACTTTGCTGAAGTTGCTTATCAGCTTAAGGAGATTTTGGGCTGAGACAATGGGGTTTTCTAAATATACAATCATATCATCTGCAAACAGATAATTTGACTTCCTCTTTTCCTAATTGAATACGCTTTATTTGTTTTTGTTTTTTGTTTTGTTTGGTTTGTTTTTGTTTGTTTTTGACAGAGTCTCACTCTGTTGCCCAGGCTGGAGTGCAGTGGCGCGATCTCTGCTCACTGTAAGCTCCGCCTCCTGGGTTCACGCCATTCTCCTGCCTCAGCCTCCTGAATAGCTGGGAATACAGGCGCCTGCCACCATGGCTGGCTACTTTTTTGAATTTTTAGTAGAGACGGGATTTCACCGTGTTAGCCAGGATGGTCTCGATCTCCTGACCTCGTGATCCGCCTGCCTCAGCCTCCCAAAGTGCTGGGATTACAGGCGTGAGCCACCGCGCCCGGCCGAATACACTTTATTTCTATCTCTTGCGTGATTGCCCTTGCCAGACCTTCCAATACTATGTTGAATAGGAGTGGTGAGAGAGGGCATCCCTGTCTTGTGCCGGTTTTCAAAGAGAATGCTTCCAGCTTTTTCCCATTCAGTATGATATTGGCTGTGGGTTTGTCATAAATAGCTCTTATTATTTTGAGATACTTTCCATCAATACCTAGTTTATTGAGAGTTTTTAACATGAAGCGGTGTTGAATTTTATCGAAGTTCTTTTCTGCATCTATTGAGATAATCATGTGGATTTTGTCATTGGTTCTGTTTATGTGATGGATTATATTTAGTGATTTGTGTTTGTTGAACCAGCCTTGCATCCCAGGGATGAAGCTGACTTGATCATGGTGGATAAGCTTTTTGATGTGCTGCTGGATTCAGTTTGCCAGTATTTTATTGAGGATTTTCACATCGATGTTTATCAGGGATATTGGCCTGAAATTTTCTTTTTTTGTTGTGTCTCTGCCAGGTTTTTGGTATTAGGATGATGGTGGCCTCATAAAATGAGTTTGGGAGGAGTCCCTCTTTTTCTAATGTTTGGAATAGTTTCAGAAGAAATGGTACCAGTTCCTCTTTGTACCTCTGGTATAATTTGGCTGTGAATCCGTCTGGTCCTGGGCTTTTTTTGGTTGGTACACTATTAATTACTGCCTCAATTTCAGAACTTGTTATTGGTCTATTCAGAGATTCAACTTCTTCCTGGTTTAGTCTTGGGAGGGTGTGTGTGTCCAGGAATTTATCCATTTCTTCTAGATTTTCTAGTTTATTTGCGTAGACGTGTTTATAGTATTCTCTTATGGTAATTTGTATTTCTGTGGGACCAGTGGTGATATCACCTTTATCATTTTATATTGTGTCTGTTTGATTCTTCTCTCTTTTCTTCTTTATTAGTCTGGCTAGCAGTCTATCTAATTTTTTGATCTTAAAAAAAACCAGCTCTAGTATTCATTGATTTTTTGAAGAGTTTTTCATGTTTCTATCCCCTTCAGTTCTGCTCTGATCTTAGTTATTTCTTATCTTCTGCGAACTTTTGAATGTGTTTGCTCTTGCTTCTCTAGTTCTTTTCATTGTGATGTTAGGGAGTCCATTTTAGATATTTCCTGCTTTCTCTTGTGGGCCTTTAGTGCTATAAGTTTCCCTCTAAACACTGCTTTAGCTGTGTCCCAGAGATTCTGGTACGTTGTGTCTTTGTCAACTTAATGAAATAAAGTGTGAAGACAAGATTAGAGAAAAAAGAATAAAAAGAAAGGAACAAAGCCTCCAAGAAATATGGGACTATGTGAAAAGACCAAATCTACATTTGACTGGTGTACCTGAAAATAATGGGGAGAATGGAACCAAGTTGGAAAACAGTCTTCAGGATATTACCCAGGAGAATTTCCCCAACATAGCAAGACAGGCCAACATTCAAATTCAGGAAATACAGAGAACTCCACAAAGATACTCCTCAAGATGGGCAACCCCAAGACACATAATTGTCAGATTCACCAAGGTTGAAATGAAGGAAAAAATGTTAAGGGCAGTCAGAGAGAAAGGTTGGGTTACCCACAAAGGGAAGCCCATCAGACTAACAAACAGTGGATATCTCTGCAGAAAACCTGCAAGCCAAAAGAGAGTGGGGGCCAATATTTAACATTCTTAAGGAATTTTCAACCCAGAATTTCATATCCAGCCAAACTAAGCTTCATAAGCGAAGGAGAAATAAAATCCTTTACAGACAAGCAAATGCTGAGAGATTTTGTCACAACCAGGCCTGTCTTACAAGAGCTCCTGGAGGAAGCACTAAACATGGAAAGGAACAACCGGTACCAGCCACTGGAAAAACATACAAAATTGTAAAGACCATCGACACTATGAAGAAACTGCATCAACTAACAGGCAAAATAACCAGCTAGCATCATAATGACAGGATCAAATTCACACATAACAATATTAAACTTAAAAGTAAATGGGCTAAATGCCCCAATTAAAAGATGCAGACTGGCAAATTGGATAAAGAGTCAAGACCCATCAGTATGCTCTATTCAGGAGACCCATCTCACGTGCAAAGAAACACATAGGCTCAAAATAAAGGGATGGAGGAAGATTTACCAAGCAAATGGAAAGGAAAAAAAAGCAGGGGTTGCAATGCTAGTCTCTGATAAAACAGACTTTAAACCAACAAAGAAAAAAAAAAAAGACAAAGAAGGGCATTACATAATGGTAAAAGGATCAATGCAACAAGAAGAGCTAACTATCTGAAATATATTTTCACTCAATACAGGAGCACCCAGATTCATAAAGCAAGTTCTTAAAGACCTGCAAAGACACTTAGACTCCCACACAATAATAGTGGGAGACTTTAACACCCCAATGCCAATATTAGACAGATCAACGAGACAGAAAATTAACAAGGATATTCAGGACTTAAACTCAGCTCTGAACCAAGCGGACCTAATAGACATCTACAGAACTCTCCACACCAAATCAACAGAATGTACATTCTTCTCAGCACCACATCACACTTATTCTAAAATCGACCACACAATTGGAAGTAAAACACTCCTCAGCAAATGCAAAAGAACAGACATAATAAGAAACAGTCTTTCAGACCACAGTGCAATCAAATTAGAACTCAGGATTAAGGAACTCACTCAAAACCGCACAACTACATGGAAACTGAACAACCTGCTCCTGAGTGACTACTGGGTAAATAACGAAATCAAGGCAGAAATAAATAAGTTGTTTGAAACCAATGAGAAGATAGCTTTTTATTTTTTTGTCTCCTCTGACCGTGTAGTTTCAAATAGCCTGTCTTCAAGCTCATTCATTCTTTCTTCTGCTTGATCAATTCTGCTATTAAAGGATTCTGATGCATTCTTCAGTATGCCAGTTGCATTTTTCATCTCCAGAATTTCTGCTTGATTCTATTTAATTATTTCAATTTCTTTGCTAAATTTATTTGATAGAATTCTGAATTCTTTCTCTGTGTTATTTTGAATGTCTTTGAGTTGCCTCAACACAGCTAATTTGAATCTCTGTCTGAAAGGTCACATATCTTTGTTTCACCAGGATTGGTCCCTAGTGCCTTGGTTAGTTCATTTGGTGAGGTCATGTTTTCCTGGATGGTGTTGATGCTAGTAGACGTTCATCTGTGTCTGGGCATTGAAGAGTTAGATATTCATAGTAGTCTTCATTGTCTGGACTTATTTGTAGCAGTCCTTCTTGGGAAGGCTTTCTAGTTATTAGAACAGACATAGGTGTTGTGATCTAAGCTGTATCTGCTTCAGGGTGCATCCCAAGCCTAGTAATGCTGTGGTTCTTGCAGCCTCATACAAGTACCACCTTGATGGTCTCCGACCAGATCTGAGAGAATTCCCTGGATTAACAGGAAGATAATCTTGTTCTCTTCCCTTTCTTCCAAACAGAGAATCTCTCTCTGTTCTGAGACATGTAAAGCTGGGGGAAGAGTATCCACAAGCACCCCTGTGGATACCACCACTTTGACTGTACTAGATGAGACCTGAAGCCAGCACAGCACTACCTGTTGCCCAAGGCCTGCCCTAACCATTCTCTGGCTACTGCCTATATTCACACAAGGCCCTGCAGCTCTACAGTCAGCAGGTGGCAAAGCCAGCCAGGCCTATGTCCTTCCCTTCAGCATGGTGAGGTCCTTAGGCCCTGGATGGGTCCAAAGTTGTCATCCAGGATTCAGGGCTAGAGTTAAGAACCTTAGAAGTCTACCTGGTGTTCTATTGTACTGCAGCTGAGCTGGCACTCAAACCAAAAGTTGCAGTCCTTCCCATTCTTTTCTCTCCTTTCTGAATGTAGAGGAGCCTCGCCCCACGTCCGCCGCCACCCTAGGCCACAAGGCATACAGCCAAACTACTGCCAATGTTCCCTTAAGGTCCAAGCACTAAGTGAGCTTGTGGTGAATGCTGCCTGGCCTGGGAGTCAGCTTTCATGGCAGTGGTCTCCTCTCTGGCCCAGGGCAGGTCCAGAAATGACATCCAAGAGCCAAGTCCTCGAATCGAGGACCTCAAGAACCTGCTTGGTGCTCTACCCTGCCATGGCTGAGCTGGTACCTAAGGTGCAGGACGAAGTCCCCTTTACTTTTCCCTCCATTTTTTTTTTTTTCAAGCAGAAGGAGTCTTCCCCATAGCTACCATGGTTAGGAATGTGCTGAGTCTCACCTGAGACCAGCAAGTCTTAGCATCTCACCCAAGGCTCTTAACATAGCACCTGGATTTTGTTGCTGGTTATTCAGGGCCCAAGAGCTGTTCAGTTAGCAGGCGATGAATGCTGCCAGGACAGGCTCCTTCCCTTCAAGGCACTGGGTTCCTTTCTGGCCCAGTGTGTGTCTAAAAATGTAATCTGGGAACTAGGGCCTAAAACGGGGGCCTCATGACTCTGACCTCTGTCCTAGTCTACTGTGGCTGATCGGATATCCAAGATGCAAGACAAAGTCTTCCTCACTCTTCCCTCTCCTGCCCTCAAGCAGAAGGAAGGGGTCTCTTTTGGAGCTGCTAGCTATGCAGCCTGGAGTTAGGGGAGGGGTGGTGCCAGCAGCACCTTGTCTGCCCCAGCTGGTGCCTCAATATGTCACATGCCCTCCCCCTACCCAGTCCACTGTGTCTGGGCCCAGTTCAGCACTAGGACTCACCTAAGAATTACAGTCTTTATGGCCTAGACTGCCTTTCAAGTTTACTTAGAGACCAAAAGCACTTTGACCATTCGTAGCAAGGTTTGAGGAAACTCAAGTGTGGAACCCTGGGATCAGTGATTCCCCTCTGACTAGGGCTAGTTTAAATGCTCCCTCCATGGGCAGGTGTCAGCTGAGTTCGATCCAGTTTTTCTGTTTGCTCTAACAGAACAGCACTGAGTTCAATGCCTCACAATTGCTGTGTTCTCGCTTCTTCAGTGCCCAGAAATGCTCTCTGCACCATGCCACGTGCTGGGGAGGGGTGGTGTCGGTGATTCAAGACTGTTCTTTTTCTATTTTTCCAGTGCCTCTTTCAGGGATATGAAGTTACAGCGAGGTACTATGAGTGCTTGCCTGATTTTTGGTACTTATGAAGGTGTTTTTTTCTGTGTAGATAGTTAGTAACTTGATGTCCTTGCAGGAGGGATGATTGATAGAGGCTTCTATTCTGCCATCTTGATCCACCCCCTTCAACAACTTCTACTGACTCAAGAAAAAATGGAAAATTTGACCACTGAAGAATTTGATTCTGAATTTTTTATACAACATTATATCCACAAAAAAAATTTCAGGTCACAATAGTTTCAATAGCAAGTTCTACCAGACATCAAAAAAGACATAATTTAAATAATATGGAAGTTTTTTTTTTAGAAGATAGGAAGAGTATATCTTTTCAGCCACTCATTTTAAGAGAGTAAAATAACATAATTTAATAATCTGAAAAAGGCAGTATGGCAAAAAAAATCTTATAGGCCAAGTTCATACTTCCACATAGATAAAAAATCCTAAGTCAAAAATCAGAAATCTAAATGAAACTTTTTTTTTTTTTTTTTTGAGACAGGGTCTCACTTTGTCACCCAGGCTGGAGTGCAGTGGTGCGATCTCGGCTCACTGCAGCCTCGACTTCCTGGGCTCAAGCGACCCTTCCAGCACAGCCCCCCGAGTAGCTGGGACTATAGGTGCACACCAACAAATCAGGCTAATTTTTTGTGTTTTTGGTAGAGACAGGGTTTCACCATGTTGCCCAGGCTCATCTCAAACTCCTGAACTCAAAGATTACAGGCGTGAGCCACCATGCTTGGTCTAAATTAAACAGTTATAACAACATAATGCTTTATAACCAAGTTTGGTTAATCCCAGGAATGCAAGACTGATTTAACATTTTAAAAAGCAAGCAGTATAATTCATACATTGATCGATTCAAGCAGGATTTTGCAAACTGCAACTCATTGACCAAATCCAACCCATTATTTATTTTTACAAAATTGTACTAAAACACAGCCACACCCTTTAAATAATTTTTAATTGAAATATAATAACTAAACCTATTTATAGAGCACATTGTGATGTTTCAATACATGTATACGTTGTGCAATGATCAAATCAGGATAATTAGTATATCCATCACCTCAAACATTGTGCAATGATCCAATCAGGGTAATTAGTATATCCATCACCTCAAACATTTATCATTTATTTGTGATGAGAACATTTAAAATTCTCTCTTCTGGCTATTTTTAAATATACAGTACATTACTATGTATAGTCATTTTAGACTATAGTCACCCTATTGTGCAATAGGACACCAGAATGTATTCCTCTAAATGTAACTTATACCCCAGAACCAATACTCTTCATTGTCCCCTCCCTTTTGCCCTCCCCATTCTCTGGTAAGCACTGCTGCTATACTTTCTACTTCTACAAGATCAGCTTGTTTAGATTCCACATATGAGTGAGATCAGAGATCAGGTGTTATTTATATTTCTCTATTTCTCTGCCTGGCTTATTTCACTTAATATGATGTCCTCCAGGATTATCAATGTTGTCAAAATGACAGAATACTTTTTTTTGCCTGAATAGTATTCCTTTCTGTATGTATACCATTTTTTATCTATTGATCCGTTGATGGACATGAGGTTGATCCTATATCTTGACTAGTGTGAACAATGCTGCAATTAACATGATAGTGCAGATATCAACACACTGATTCCATTTTTTAAAAATATATACCCAATAGTGAGAATGATGGATCATGTGGTAGGCATATATTTTCACAGAGCCTCAACATTTTTATTGGCTATTTACAAAAAATATTGTGGGTACATAATAGGTGTATACGTTTATAGGGTATATGAGATATTTTGATACAAGCATACAATGTATAGTAATCATATTTCAAGGTACATGGGGTACCCATCACTTCAGGCATTTATCTTTTCTTTGTGTTACAAGCAATCTAATTATACTCTTCTAATTTTTTTACAGTGGACAATAAATTATTGTTGATTGTAGTCACCCTGTTGTACTAGATCTTATTCATTCTAACAATATTTTTCCACCCATTAACAATCCCTATTTCCTCAACCCCCGGACTATTTTCAGCCTCAGGTAAACATCTTTCTACTCACAGTCTCCGTAAGATTGGTAGTTTTACTTTCGGCTCCCACAAATAAGTGAAAACATGCAAAATTTGTCTTCCTTTGCCTGAATTATTTCATTTAACAAAATGTCCTCCAGTTCCATCTATGTTGTTTCAAATAAAGGGATCTAATTATTTCTATTACTTAATAGTACTTCAGTATGTATATGTACCACATTTTCTTTATACATTCATCTGTGGTGGACACGTAGGTTGCTTCCAAATCTTGGCTATTGTGAGCAGTGCTGCAATAAATGTGGAAGTGCAGATATCACTTCTATATACTGATTCCCTTTCTTCCAGATATAAATCTATCAATTTGATTACTCGTTCATGTGGTAGTTACATATGTAGTTTTGTGAAGAACCCCTAAACATTCTCCAAGGAGTTGTACTAATTTACATTGCCACTAAGAGTGTATGAGGGCTCCCTTATCCTTGCTGGCATTTGTTACTACCTGTCTTTTGGATATAAGCCATTCTGACTGGGGTGGGATAATAGTTCATTGTAGTTTTGATTTGCATTTCTCTGATGCTTATTAATGTTGAACACCTTTTCTTATACCTGTTTTGCCATTTGTATTTCTTCATTTTAGAAATGTCTATTAAGAACTATTTCCCATTTTTAAATCAGATTATTAGATTTATTCCTATTAAGTTGTTTGAGCTTCTTATATATTCTGGCTAGTAATCACTCATCATATGGATAGTTTGCAAATATTTTCTCCCATCCTGTGAGTTACGACTTCACTTTGTAGATTGTTTCCTTTGCTATGCAGAAGCTTTCTAACTTGATATAATTTCATTTGTCCATTTTGCTTTGATTGCCTGTGCTTCTGGGGTATTATTCAAGAAATATTTTCCCATATCAGTGCCCTGGAGAGTTCCCCCAATATTTTATTTTAGGAATATCATAGTTTGAAGTTTTAGATTTAAGTATTTAGTCCATTTTTATTTGACTTTTATATGGCTAGAGATAGGGGTCAAGTTTTATTTTTCTGCATATGGATATTCAGTTTCCTAGCATCATTTATTAAAGAGACTTTCCCCAATACATGTTCCTGGCACTTTTCTCAATAATGAGTTTACTGTAGATGTGTGGATTTATTTCTGGGTTCTCTATTCTATTCCTTTGGTCTATGTGTCTGTTTTTGTGCCAAGACCATGCTGTTTTGGTTACTATGGCTCCATAGTATAATTTGAAGTCAGGTAATGTGATTCCTCTGATTTTATTATGTTTGCTCAGGATAGCTTTGGTTATTTTATGCCTTCTGTGGTTCCATATACATTTTAGATTTTTTTTTTATTTCTGTGAAGACTGTCATTTGTATCATTTTGACAGAGATTACATTGACTCTGTAGATTGCTTTAAGTAGTATGGACATTTTAACAACATTGATTCTTCAATATTGTTGAATATCTTCCCATTCTTTGTGTCCTCTTCTATTTCTTACATGAATGTTCTATAGTTTTCATTGTAGAGATCTTTCAGTTCTTTGGTTAAGTTAATACCTTGGTATTTTATTTTCTTTGTAGCTATTGTGAATGGGATTACTTTTTCGATTTCCTTTTCAGATTGTTTAATGTTGGCATATAGAGATAGTACTGACTTTTGTATGTTGATTTTGTATCCTGCCACATTACTGAATTTGTCAGTTCTAACCGTTTTTAGTGGAGTCTTTAGGGTTGTTTTTATTTTCAAATATAAGAGCATCTGCAAACAAGGATAATTTGACTTCTTGCTTTCCAGTTTAGATGTATTTTCTTTCTCTTGTCTGATTGCTCTAGTTTAGACTTTCAGTATGATTTTCAATGACAGTAGTAAAATGGGGCATACATGTTATGTTCCAGATCTTAGAGGAAAATCTTCCATTTTTTCCCATTCAATATGATACTATCTGTGGGGCTGTTTATGGATTTAAGTGTGTTGAGGTATGTTCCTTCTGTACCCAGTTTCTTTGAGGGTTTTTATTATAAAGAGATGTTGAATTTTATCAAATTCTTTATCAGCATCAATTACAATAATCACATGGCTTTTGTCTTTCTTTCTGTTGAAATGATATATCACATTGATTCATTTGCATATGTTTGACCATCCTTATGTCCCTGGCATAAATCTTACTTGGTCATAATAAATTATCTCCCTAATATGTTGTTGAATCTGGTTTGCCAGTATTTTGTTGGGGAATTTTGCATTAATGTTCATTAGGGATTTTTGACATATAATTTTGTTTTGTTTTTTAAGGAGTCTTTGTTTTTTGGTATCAGGGTAATACTGGCCTCATAGAATGAATTTGGAAGTATACCCTCCTCTATTTTTTGGAATAGTTTGAGTAGGATTGGTATTAGTTCTTCTTTAAATGTTTGGTAAAATTCAGTAGTGAACCCATCAGGTCCTGGACTTTTCACTGGTGGGATACTTTTTTTTAATTAGTTTCATTTCATTACTTGCTATTGCTCTGGTCAGGTTTTTGATTTCTTCATGGTTCAATCTTGGTAAAGTGTATGTTTCTAAAAGTTTACTTCTTCTAGGCTTTTTATTTTTTGGCATAATTGCTCATAGTAGCCTTTAATGGTCCTTTGAATTTCTTTGGTATCAGTTGTAATGTGCCCTTTTTCATTTCTGATTATATTTATTTAGGTCTTCTGTTTCTTTTGTAGTTAGTCTGGCTAAAGATTTGTAGCTTTTGTTTATCATTTCAAAAACCCAACTTTTCATTTTGTTGCTCTTTCATATTGCTTTATTTCTTTCTATTTCATTTACTTTTGTTCTGATCTTTATTATTTGTTTTCTTCTACTAATTTGGGGTTTGGTTTTCTCTTGCTTTTCTAGTTTCTTAAGAGGTATCATTAGGTACTTATTTCAAGTTTTCCCATTTTTTTTTGTGTAGGTACTTATTGCTATGAATGTTCCTCTTAGTAATCCTTTTCTGTATCCCATAGGTTTTGTTTGTTGTGTTTTCATTTTCAAAGGTTTCAAGAAATTTTTAAATTTCTTTCTTAGTTTCTTCATTTCCTCACTGGTCATTTGGGAGCATACTGTTTTATATCTGTGTGTTTGTATAGTTTCCAATATTCCTCTTGTTATTGACTTCTAGATTTATCTCATTATGATCAGATAAGATACCTGCTATAAGTACATTTTTTTGAATTTTTAATTACTATTATACTTTAAGTTCTAGGGTACATGTGCATAACCTGCAGGTTTGTTACATAGATATACATGTGCCATGTTGGTTTGCTGCAACCATCAACTCATTTAAATTAGGTATTTCTCCCAATACTATCCCTCCCTTAGCACCCCACCCCCAAGAGGCCCCAGTGTGGGTTGTTCCCCTCCCTGTGTCCATGTGTTCTCATTGTTCAATTCCCACTTATGAGGGAGAATATGCGGTGTTTGGTTTTCTGTCCTTGTGATAGTTTGCTGAGAATGATGGTTTCCAGCTTCATTCATGTCCCTGCAAAGGACATAAACTCATCCACTTTATGGCTGCATAGTATTCCATGGTGTATATGTGCCACATTTTCTTTATCCAGTCTATTATGGATGGACATTTCGATTGGTTCC
Organism: Homo sapiens; assembly: GCF_000001405.40. Classification (NCBI taxonomy): domain Eukaryota; kingdom Metazoa; phylum Chordata; class Mammalia; order Primates; family Hominidae; genus Homo; species Homo sapiens. The sequence continues at coordinate 85,415,029 of NC_000023.11, forward strand.
AAGTCTTTGCTATTGTGAATAGTGCTGCAATAAACATACATGTGCATGTGTCTTTATAGTAGCATGATTTATAATCCTTTGGGTATATACCCAGTAATGGGATGGCTGGGTCAAGTGGTATTTCTAGTTCTAGATCCTTGAGGAATCACCACACTGTCTTCCACGATGGTTGAATTAATTTACACTCCCACCAACAATGTAAAAGCATTCCTATTTCTCCACATCCTCTCCAGCATCTATTGTTCCCTGACTTTTTAATGATCGCCATTCTAACTGGCGTGAGATGGTATCTTATTGTGGTTTTGATTTGCATTTCTCTAATGACCAGCAATGATGAGCATTTTTGAATATGTCTGTTGGCTGAATAAATGTCTTCTTTTGAGAAGTGTCTGTTCACATCCTTTGCCCACTTTTTGATGGGGTTGTTTGTTTTTTCTTGTAAATTTGTTTAATTAAATTCTTTGTAGATTCTGAATATTAGCCCTTTGTCAGATGGCTAGATTGCAAAAATTTTCTCCCATTCTGTAGGTTGCCTTCTCACTCTGATGACAGTTTCTTTTGTTGTGCAGAAATTCTTTAGTTTAATTATATCCCATTTGTCAATTTTGGCTCTTGTTGCCATTGCTTTTGGTGTTTTAGACATGAAGTCTTTGCCCATGCCTATGTCCTGAATGGTAATGCCTAGGTTTTCTTCTACGGTTTTTATGGTTTTAGGTCTTACATTTAAGTCTTTAGTCCATCTTGAATCAATTTTTGTGTAAGGTGTAAGGAATTTTTAAAGACCTTCTTTGGGCCTAACATATGGTCAATCTTTGAGAATGATCCATATGTTGAGCATGTGTGTTCTGTAAATATCTATTAGGTTCACTTGGTCCATAGTGCAGAGTAAATACGATATTTCTTTCTTAATTTTTTTGTCTGTTGATCTGCCCCATGTTAAAAGTGGAACATTGAATTCTCCTGCTATTATCTTTTGGGTCTATCTCTCTCTTTAGCTGTAATAATATTTGCTTAATATAATTGGTTGCTACAATGTTGAGTGCATTTACATTTACAATTGTTATATCCTCTCCCAGAAGTGATCCCTTTGTCATTATATGACCTTTTTTGTCCATTTTCATAAATTTTATCTTAAAATCTATTTTGTTATAAGGTTAGCTACTGCACTTTTTTTTTTTTGCTTTCCATTGGCATGATACATCTTTTTCCCTTTTTAAAATTTCAGTCTATTTGTGTCTTTATAGTTGAAGTGTGTTTCTTGTAGGACACAGATCATTAGTTTTGTTTTTTATTTATTCAGCTATTGCATGTCTTTTGATGGGAGAGCATAGTCCATTTACATTTCATCTCACCATTGATAAGGACTTACTCTTGCCATTTTGTTGTTTTATATTTTTTGTCATCTTCTCTTTCTTCTTTTCTGTCTTCCTTTCAATGAAGGTGATATTCTCTCATTAAATGTTTTAATTTCTTGCTTTTTTTTGTGTGTATATGTTGCCTGATTTATTATTTTGGATTATCATGAGGCTTGCAAATACTATCTTGTAAACCACTGTTAAACAACTTAACACTGATTGCATAAACAAAACTAAAAACAAACTAAGATAAAACTAATAAAACTCTAGATTTTTTCTTCCCATTTTTAACCAATTGTTGTTTCTATTTATATCTTATTATATCATTTATGTCTTGAAAAGTTGGAGTTATTATTATTTGTCAGTTCATCTTTTAGTCTTTCTACTAAAGGTATGAGTAGTTTGCCCACCACAATTACAGTGTTCTGTAATTTTCTTTGTAGTTTCTATTGCCAGTAAATTTTGTACCATCAGATAATTTTGTTTTTGCTTTTTAGTGTCATTTTCTTTTAGATTGAAAAACTCCCTTCAGCATTTCTCGTGGGACAGGTTTCATAATGACGAACTCCCTCAGCTTTTGTTTCTCTGGGAAAATATTTCTCCTTTATGTTTGATGCATACTTTTGCTGGATATACTATTCTAGGATAGAAGTTAAATTCCTTCAGCCCTTTAAATATGTCATGTCACTCTCTCCTGGACTTTCAGGTTTCCACTGAAAAGTCTGCTGCCAGACTTATTGGAGCTCCAATGTATTTTTTCTCTGATCTCTCTACTTCCTCTTTAAGGCCAATAACTCTTATATTTGCCATTTTGAGGTCATTTTCTACATCTTGTAGGCATGCCTCATTCTTTTATCTTTTGTCTCCTCTGTGTAGTTTCAAATAGACTGTGTTCAAGCTCACTAATTCTTTCTTCTGCCAGATCAATTCTGCTGTTAAGAGACTAATGCATTCTTTAGGTATGTCAGTTACATTTTTCAACTCCAGAATTTCTGCTTTATTCTTTTTAATCATTTCAATCTCTTTGTTAAATTTAGCTGATAGGGTTCTAAATTCCTTCTATGTGCTAATTTGAATTTAGAATGTGCTCCCTCAAAACAGCTATTTTGAATTATCTGTCTAAAATATCAGATATCTCTGGTTCCCTGGGATTGGTTTCTGATGCTTTATTTAGCTTGTTTGGTGAGGTCATGTTTTCCCGGATGGTCTGAATGGTTGCAGACATGCAACAGTTTCTGAGAATTGAAGTGTTAGCTATATATTGTAGTCTTCGCATTCTGGGCATTTGCAACCTTCCTTTTTGGGAAGGTTTTCTAGGTATTCAAAGGAACTTGGGTGATATGATTTAAGTCTGTGGTCACTGCAACCATATCTGCATTAGGGGCACCCCAAGCCCAGTAAAGCGGTGGCTCCTGGAGACTCACAGAATTACCATCTTGGTGGTCTTGTGTAAGATCCTGAAGGATTCTCTGGATTACCAGGCAGAGACTCTTGTTCTCTCTCCTGACTTTTCCCCATACTAACTGTGTGTGTGTGTGTGTGTGTGTGTGTGTGTGTGTGTGTGTGTGTGTGCTGGTATTCAGGGAGGAATGAAATAAGTACCCTCATAGCCTCCACCAGTGAGACTGTGCTGGATCAGACCCAAAGCCAGCAGCACAGCACTGGGTTGCACCCAAGGCCCTGCTGTTCACTGCCTGGCTACTACCTATATTCATTCAAGGCCCAAGGGCTCTACAACCATCAGGTGGTGAATTTAGCCAGACTTGTTTTCTTCCTTTCAGAGTGGTGAGTTCTCCCCAGTCCCAGGCTGGTCCAGAGATGCCATCCAGGAGTCAGTTTCTGAAGTTGGGGACCTTAGGAATCTACCTGGTGCTCTATTCTCCTACAGCTGAGCTGACATCTTGGCCACAAAACAAAGTATTTCCCACTCATCCCTCCCTGTCCTCGAGCAGAAGAGTTTCACCTTGCGGCTACCACTGGCCCCAGGCATTTGGTGAATACTGCCTGGCTACTACCAGTTTTCACTCTAGGCCCAAGGGCTCTTCAGTCAGCTTGCAGTGAATGCTGCCAGGCCTGGATTTCTCCCTTCAGGGTAGTAGGTTTCCCTCTGGCTCCAAGCAGTTCCAGAAATACCACCAAGGAACCAAGGCAGCCTGGAATCAGGGGCCCCAGGAACCTGCTTGGTGCTCTAGCCCACTGTTGCCAAACTGATACCCAAACTGCAAGACAAAGTCCCCCTTACTCTTCCCTCTTGTTTAATCAAACAGAAGAACTGACTCCTCATAGCCACCATAGCTGTGAATGTGCTCAGTCACCCCTATAGTCAGGATGACTCTGAATCTCACTCGAGGCCAAAAATGAGTATTGCCTGTCTATCACTGCTGATTATTTAGTATAGAAGGGCTCTTTAGTCAGATAATAAATCCTTCCAGGACTAAGTTCTTCCCTTCAAGGCAGTGTTTTCCTTTCTGGCCCAGAGTTTGTCTATACATTTTGCCCAGGAGCTATGGCCTGAAATGGGGGTCTCAGAACTCAGCCGGGTGCCCTATTCTACTGAGGCTGAAGTGGCATCCACTTCGCAAGACAAAGTGTTCTTTACTCTCCCCTCTCTTCTCTTCAAGCAGAAGGAAGGACTTTCTCCTGGAGTTGTGAGCTGTGATGCCTGGGATTGGAGAAGGGATAACATAAGCAGCCTCGTAGCAACCCTGGCTGGTGTCTCACAAGGTTGTATGCACCCCAAGTCCACTGGCTCCAAGCCCAGCATAGCACCAGGGCTTACCCAGAAATTGCAGTCCTTGTGGCCTAGACTGCCTTTCTAGTTTATTTAGGAACCCAGAGCAGTTTAGCCTGCAGTAGTGGGGCTTGCTGGAACTCAGATTACAAGTATTTGATGGATGATTTACCTCTGGCTAGGGATAGTATAAATGTTTCCTCCATGGACTCCAGTTGAGTTCTGCCTGATGTTGCTTTCTGCTGTAACAGGGTACCACTGAGTTTCAATGCAAAGTCTCAAAATAACTACACTGTCCTTCCTGCAAGTACACACATTCTCTCTCCTCTCCAGGTGGCTGCTGTCAGGATATGGAGGAGAGGTGGTGTGATTCATAACTCTTTCCTAACCTGTCCAGTGTCTCTTTCCTTAGGTATTATGATTACTCACCTGATTTTTTATTCTTATGAAGGCTTTTTTTTTGTGTAAATAGTTGTTCCATTTGGTGTTCCTGTTGCAGGGGGGAATCTCTGGAGGCTTCTATTTGGTCATCTTGCCCTGCCTCCTCAATAGTTCTATTTTTAATTTTTTGAGAAACCTCCAGGCTCTTTTCCAGAATGGCTATACTAATTTACATTCCCTCCAGGAGAGTGTAAGCATACCTTTTTCTTCACATTGTCACCATCATTTGTTATATTTTGTCATTCTAATAATAGCCATTCTAACTGAAGTGAGGTGATATTTCATTGCCTATTTCATTTACATTTACCTGATGATTAGGAAAGTTGAGCATTATTTTATAGACCCAGTGGCCATATGTTTGTGTTATTTTGAAAAATATCTATTAAGGTATTTTGCCCATTTTAAAAACAATCTTTTATTTCTTGTGTGTATTTTTTTTGCTATTGAGTTGCATTCCTTATATATTATGAATATTGACCCCTTGTCAGATGTATAGTTTGCAATTATTTTCCTCCATTCTGGAGATTTTCTCCACTGTTGATCCTTTCTTTTGATGTGCATACGTTTTCTAGTTTAATGCAATCCCACTTGCCTATTTTTGCTTTTGTGCTCTTACCTTCTTGCTCAGTACAATGCCATGAAGCATTTCCCCTATATTCTAGTAGCAACATAGTTTAGTTCTTACCTTTAAGTTTTTAATCCATTTTGAGTTGATTTTTGTATATGGTAAAAGATAGGGGTCTAACCTCATTCTTCTATGTGAGGATATACAGTTTTCTTTCAGCCCCAGTTATTGAAGTGCTCGTTCTTTCCCCTGGTATGTGTTCTTGGCCCCTTTGTGGAAAGTTACTTGGCTGTAGATGTATTTACTTCTGTGCTCTCAATTCTGTTTCTTGGTTTATGTGACCATTTTTATGCCAGTACTATGCCTTTTTTGTTACCAGAGAAATGTGGTATATTTTGAAGTCAAGTAGTATGATGCCTCCAGCTTTTTCTTATTGCTTAAGATTGATTTGGCTATTCAGAGTCTTTTGTAGGTCCATATGATTTTAAGGATTGTTTGTTGTATATCTGTGAAGAAAGACATTGGTATTTTGATAGGTGTTGCCTTGAATCTGTAGATTACTTTGAGTAGTATGAATATTTTAACAATAACAATTCTTCCAATCCACGGACAAAGGATATCTTTCCATTTATTTGTGTCCTTTTCAATTTCTTTTATCAATATTTTCAAGTTTTTATAGTTTTTAGTGTAGAGATTTTCACTTCCTTAAACTTATTCCAACTTATCTTATGTTTTCATAGCTATTGAAAATGGGGTTGTTTCCTATATTTTTTTCATACAGTTCACTACTGATATATAGAAACACTATTAATTTATGTTGATTTTGTGTCTTGGAACTGTGCTACATTTGTATACTAGTTCCAAGAGTTTTTTTGGTGACGTCTTTAGGGATTTCTAAATATGAGATTATATCACCCACAAACAGGGACAATTTGACATCCTCCTTTCCAATTTGGATGCCTTTTATTTCTTTCTCTTGCCTAATTTCTCTGGCAGGAATTTTCAGTATGATGTTGAATAAAAGTTGTGAAAATGGGTATCCTTGTCTTTTTCCAGATCTTAGGGAGAAAGCATTCAGCCTTTTTTCTATCTAATATAATGTTAGCTGTGGGTTTTTCATATACAGTATTGGGTTACGGTATATTTCTTTTATGCCTAATTTGTTGAGAGTCTTTATGATGAAGTGATGTCATATGTTGTCAAATGCTTTTTTTGTGTGTGTGTTTTTGAAATTATCATATGTTTTTGTCCTTTTTTCTCTTAATGTAAATTATCACATTTATTGATATGCATATGTTGAACCATTCTTGCATCTCTGGGATGAATCCCACTTGATCATAACAAATGTTCTTTTTAATGTACTGTTGAATTTGGTTTGCTAGGATTTTGTTGAGGATTTTTGTATCAATGTTCATCAAGGATATTGGTCTATGGTTTTCTTTTGTGTGTGTGTCCTTGTCTGGTTCTGGTATTATGCTGTTTATTAGAGGGTATTGCTATAAACTTCCCTCTTAGAAGTAATTTTTGTGTAGACCATAGGTTTTGGTATGTTGTTTTTCTTTTCATTTCCAGAAATTTTAAATTTTCTCTTTTTATTTCCTTATTGACCGATTGGTTATTCAGGAGCAAGTTTTTAATTTCTATGTGTTGGAGTTCCTTCTTTTACTGATGTCTAGTTTTATAGCATTGTGTTCAGAAAAGATACTTTTATTTATTTATTTATTATTATTATACTTTAAGTTTTAGGGTACATGTGCACAATGTGCAGATTAGTTACATATGTATACATGTGCCACCCTGGTGTGCTGCACCCACTAACTCGTCATCTAGCATTAGGTATATCTCCCAATGCTATCCCTCCCCCCTCCCCCCACCCCACCACAGTTCCCAGAGTGTGATGTTCCCCTTCCTGTGTCCATGTGTTCTCATTGTTCAATTCCCACCTATGAGTGAGAATATGCGGTGTTTGGTTTTTTGTTCTTGTGATAGTTTACTGAGAATGATGATTTCCAATTTCATCCATGTCCCTACAAAGGACATGAACTCATCATTTTTTATGGCTGCATAGTATTCCATGGTGTATATGTGCCACATTTTCTTAATCCAGTCTATCATTGTTGGACATTTGGGTTGGATCCAAGTCTTTGCTATTGTGAATAATGCCGCAATAAACATATGTGTGCATGTGTCTTTATAGCAGCATGATTTATAGTCCTTTGGGTATATATCCAGTAATGGGATGACTGGGTCAAATGGTATTTCCAGTTCTAGATCCCTGAGGAATCGCCACACTGACTTCCACAAGGGTTGAACTAGTTTACAGTCCCAACAACAGTGTAAAAGTGTTCCTATTTCTCCACATCCTCTCCAGCACCTGTTGTTTCCTGACTTTTTACTGATTGCCATTCTAACTGGTGTGAGATGGTATCTCATTGTGGTTTTGATTTGCATTTCTCTGATGGCCAGTGATGGTGAGCATTTTTTCATGTGTTTTGTGGCTGCATAAATGTCTTCTTTTGAGAAGTGTCTGTTCATGTCCTTCACCCACTTTTTGATGGGGTTGTTTGTTTTTTTCTTGTAAATTTGTTTGAGTTCATTGTAGATTCTGGATATTAGCCCTTTGTCAGATGAGTAGGTTGCGAAAATTTTCTCCCATTTTGTAGGTTGCCTGTTCACTCTGATGGTAGTTTCTTTTGCTGTGCAGAAGCTCTTCAGTTTAATTAGATCCCATTTGTCAATTTTGTCTTTTGTTGCCATTGCTTTTGGTGTTTTAGACATGAAGTCCTTGCCCATGCCTATGTCCTGAATGGTAATGCCTAGGTTTTCTTCTAGGGTTTTTATGGTTTTAGGTCTAACATGTAAGTCCTTAATCCATCCTGAATTGATTTTTGTATAAGGTGTAAGGAAGGGATCCAGTTTCAGCTTTCTACATATGGCTAGCCAGTTTTCCCAGCACCATTTATTAAATAGGGAATCCTTTCTCCATTGCTTCTTTTTGTCAGGTTTGTCAAAGATCAGATACTTGTAGATAAGTGGCATTATTTCTGAGGGCTCTGTTCTGTTCCATTGATCTATATCTCTGTTTTGGTAACAGTACCATGCTGTTTTGGTTACTGTAGCCTTGTAGTATAGTTTGAAGTCAGGTAGTGTGATGCCTCCGGCTTTGTTCTTTTGGTTTAGGATTGACTTGGCGATGCGGGCTCTTTTTTGGTTCCATATGAACTTTAAAGTAGTTTTTTCCAATTCTGTGAAGAAAGTCATTGGTAGCTTGATGGGGATGGCATTGAATCTGTAAATTACCTTGGGCAGTATGGCCATTTTCACGATATTGACTCTTCCTACCAATGAGCATGCAATATTCTTCCATTTGTTTGTATCCTCTTTTATTTCCTTGAGCAGTGGTTTGTAGTTCTCCTTGAAGAGGTCCTTCACATCCCTTGTAAGTTGGATTCCTAGGTATTTTATTTTCTTTGAAGCAATTATGAATGGGAGTTCACTCATAATTTGGCTCTCTGTTTGTCTGTTGTTGGTGTATAAGAATGCTTGTGATTTTTGTACATTGATTTTGTATCCTGAGACTTTGCTGAAGTTGCTTATCAGCTTAAGAAGATTTTGGGCTGAGACAATGGGGTTTTCTAGATATACAATCATGTCGTCTGCAAACAGGGACAATTTGACTTCCTCTTTTCCTAATCGAATGCCCTTTATTTCCTTCTCCTGCCTAATTGCCCCGGCCAGAACTTCCATCACTATGTTGAATAGGAGTGGTGAGAGAGGGCATCCCTGTCTTGTGCCAGTTTTCAAAGGGAATGCTTCCAGTTTTTGTCCATTCAGTATGATATTGGCTGTGGGTTTGTCATAGATAGCTCTTATTATTTTGAGATATGTCCTATCGATACCTAATTTATTGAGAGTTTTTAGCATGAAGGGTTGTTGAATTTTGTGAAAGGCCTTATCTGCATCTATTGAGATAATCATGTGATTTTGGTCTTTGGTTCTGTTTATATGCTGGATTACATTTATTGATTTGCATATATTGAACCAGCCTTGCATCCCAGGGATGAAGCCCACTTGATCATGGTGGATAAGCTTTTTGATGTGCTGCTGGATTGGGTTTGCCAGTATTTTATTGAGAATTTTTGCATCCATGTTCATCAAGGATATTGGTCTAAAATTCTCTTTTTTGTTGTGTCTCTGCCCGGCTTTGGTATCAGGATGATGCTGGCCTCATAAAATGAGTTAGGGAGGATTCCCTCTTTTTCTATTGATTGGAATAGTTTCAGAAGGAATGGTACCAGTTCCTCCTTGTACCTCTGGTGGAATTCAGCTGTGAATCCATCTAGTCCTGGACTCTTTTTGGTTGGTAAGCTATTGATTATTGCCACAATTTCAGATCTTGTTTATTGGTCTATTCAGAGATTCAACTTCTTCCTGGTTTAGTCTTGGGAGAGTGTATGTGTCGAAGAATTTATCCATTTCTTCTAGATTTTCTAGTTTATTTGCGTAGAGGTGTTTGTAGTATTCTCTGATGGTAATTTGTATTTCTGGGGGATCGGTGGTGATATCCCCTTTATCATTTTTTACTGCATCTATTTGATTCTTCTCTCGTTTTATCTTTATTAGTCTTGCTAGTGGTTTATCAATTTTGTTGATCCTTTCAAAAAACCAGCTCCTGGATTCATTAATTTTTTGAAGGGTTTTTTGTGTCTCTATTTCCTTCAGTTCTGCTCTGATTTTAGTTATTTCTTGCCTTCTGCTAGCTTTTGAATGTGTTTGCTCTTGCTTTTCTAGTTCTTTTAATTATGATGTTAGGGTGTCAATTTTGGATCTTTCCTGCTTTCTCTTGTGGGCATTTAGTGCTATAAATTTCCCTCTACACACTGCTTTGAATGCATGCCAGAGATTCTGGTATGTTGTGTCTTTGTTCTCGTTGGTTTCAAAGAACATCTTTATTTCTGCCTTCATTTCGTTATGTACCCAGTAGTCATTCAGGAGCAGGTTGTTCAGTTTCCATGTAGTTGAGCAGTTTTGAGTGAGATTCTTAATCCTGAGTTCTAGTTTGATTGCACTGTGGTCTGAGAGATAGTTTGTTATAATTTCTGTTCTTTTACATTTGCTGAGGTGAGCTTTACTTCCAAGTATGTGGTCAATTTTGGAATAGGTGTGGTGTGGTGCTGAAAAAAATGTATATTCTGTTGACTTGGGGTGGAGAGTTCTGTAGATGTCTATTAGGTCCGCTTGGTGCAGAGCTGAGTTCAATTCCTGGGTATCCTTGTTGACTTTCTGTCTCATTGATCTGTCTAATGTTGACAGTGGGGTGTTAAAGTCTCCCATTATTAATGTGTGGGAGTCTAAGTCTCTTTGTAGGTCACTCAGGACTTGCTTTATGAATCTGGGTGCTCCTGTATTGGGTGCATATATATTTAGGATAGTTAGCTCTTCTTGTTGAATTGATCCCTTTACCATTATGTAATGGCCTTCTTTGTCTCTTTTGATCTTTGTTGGTTTAAAGTCTGTTTTATCAGAGACTAGGATTGCAACCCCTGCCTTTTTTTGTTTTCCATTTGCTTGGTAGATCTTCCTCTATCCTTTTATTTTGAGCCTATGTGTGTCTCTGCATGTGAGATGGGTTTCCTGAATACAGCACACTGATGGGTCTTGATTCTTTATCCAATTTGCCAGTCTGTGTCTTTTAACTGGAGCATTTAGTCCATTTACATTTAAAGTTAATATTGTTATGTGTGAATTTGATCCTGTCATTATGATGTTAGCTGGTTATTTTGCTCGTTAGTTGATGCAGTTTCTTCCTAGTCTCGATGGTCTTTACATTTTGGCATGATTTTGCAGTGGCTGGTACCGGTTGTTCCTTTCCGTGTTTAGTGCTTCCTTCAGGAGCTCTTTTATGGCAGGCCTGGTGGTGACAAAATCTCTCAGCATTTGCTTGTCTGTAAAGTATTTTATTTCTCCTTCACTTATGAAGCTTCGTTTGGCTGGATATGAAATTCTGGCTTGAAAATTCTTTTCTTTGAGAATGTTGAATATTGGCCCCTACTCTCTTCTGGCTTGTAGAATTTCTGCCGAAAGATCTGCTGTTAGTCTGATGGGCTTCCCTTTGAGGGTAACCTGACCTTTCTCTCTGGCTGCCCTTAACATTTTTTCCTTCATTTCAACTTTGGTGAATCTGACAATTATGTGTCTTGGAGTTGCTCTTCTCGAGGAGTATCTTTGTGGCGTTCTCTGTATTTCCTGAATCTGAATGTTGGCCTGCCTTGCTAGATTGGGGAAGTTCTCCTGGATAATATCTTGCAGAGTGTTTTCCAACTTGGTTCCATTCTCCCCGTCACTTTCAGGTACACCAATCAGACGTAGATTTGGTCTTTTCACATAGTCCCATATTTCTTGAAGGCTTTGCTCATTTCTTTTTATTCTTTTTTCTCTAAACTTCCCTTCTCACTTCATTTCATTCATTTCATCTTCCATCGCTGATACCCTTTCTTCTAGTTGATCACATCAGCTCCTGAGGCTTCTGCATTCTTCATGTAGTTCTCGAGCCTTGGTTTTCAGCTCCATCAGCTCCTTTAAGCACTTCTCTGTATTGGTTATTCTAGTTATACATTCTTCTAAATTTTTTTCAAAGTTTTCAACTTCTTTGCCTTTGGTTTGAATGTCCTCCAGTAGCTCGGAGTAATTTGATCGTCTGAAGCCTTCTCTCCGCTCGTCAAAGTCATTCTCCATCCAGCTTTGTTCTGTTGCTGGTGAGGAACTGCGTTCCTTTGGAGGAGGAGAGGCGCTCTGCTTTTTACAGTTTCCAGTTTTTCTGCTCTGTTTTTTCCCCATCTTTGTGGTTTTATCTACTTTTGGTCTTTGATGATGGTGATGTACAGATGGGTTTTTGGTGTGGATGTCCTTTCTGTTTGTTAGTTTTCCTTCTAACAGACAGGACCCTCAGCTGCAGGTCTGCTGGAGTCCTGGGCCCTGTGAGGTGTCAGTCTGCCCCTGCTGAGGGGTGCCTCCCAGTTAGGCTACTCGGGGGTCAGGGGTCAGGGACCCACTTGAGGAGGCAGTCTGCCCATTCTCAGATCTCCAGCTGCGTGCTGGGAGAACCACTGCTCTCTTCAAAGCTGTCAGACAGGGACATTTAAGTCTGCAGAGGTTACTGCTGTCTTTTTGTTTGTCTGTGCCCTGCCCCCAGAGGTGAAGCCTATAGAGGCAGGCAGGCCTCCTTGAGCTGTGGTGGTCTCCACCCAGTTGGAGCTTCCCAGCTGCTTTGTTTACCTAAGCAAGCCTGGGCAATGGCGAGCGCCCCTCCCCCAGCCTCGCTGCTGCCTTGCAGTTTGATCTCAGACTGCTGTGCTAGCAATCAGCGAGATTCCGTGGGCGTAGGGCCCTCTGAGCCAGGTGCGGGATGTAATCTCCTGATGCGCAGTTTTTAAGCCCGTTGGAAAAGCGCAGTATTCGGGTGGGAGAGACCCGATTTTCCAGGTGCCGTCTGTCACCCCTTTCTTTGACTAGGAAAGGGAACTACCTGACCCCTTGTGCTTCCCGAGTGAGGCAATGCCTCGCCCTGCTTTGGCTCACGCATGGTGTGCACACCCACTGACCTGCACCCACTGTCTGGCACTCCCTAGTGAAATGAAGCCGGTACCTCAGATGGAAATGCAGAAATCACCCATCTTCTGCGTCGCTCACGCTGGGAGCTGTAGACGGGAGCTGTTCCTATTCAGCCATCTTGGCTCCTCCCCACTTTTTTCCAGAAAAGATACTTGATATAATCTCTATCTAATCTTCTTAAATTTGGTAAGACTTGTTTTGTAAGCTAGCATGTGATCTATACTGCAAAATGTTCTATATGCAGTAGGGGAGAATGTGTATTCTGCAGCTGTTTGATGGAATGTTTTGTAAAGGTCTGTTAGATCAATTTGGTCTAGAGTGCAGTTTATTTTTTACCTTGTTTTATTTTATTTTTTTTTTAGAGTGCAGTGTAAATCTGATGTTCCTTTGTTGATTTTCTGTCTGTATGATATGTCCGTTGTTGAAAGTGGGGTGTTGAAGCCCCCAGCTACTATTGTATTGCAGCCAATCTCTCCCTTTTGATCAAAAGCATTTGCCTTATGTAGTTAGGTTCTTCAGTTTTGGGTACATATATATATTCATAATTGTTATATTCTCTCATTGAATTGACTTCTTTATTATTATATAATGATATAAAGACTTTCATCTCTTTTTACAGTTTTTGACTTAAAGTCCATTTTATGTCGTGTAAGTATAGCTTCATTAGTTCTCTTTTGGCTTCTATTTCCATGGAATATCTTTGTCCATCCTTTTACTTTCAATCTCTTTGTGTCCCGTAACATGAGTCTTCTGTAGACAATATATAGTTGCATGTTTTGTTTTTTTTTAGTCCATTCAGCCACTCTATGTCTTTAGATTGCATTATTGAATCCATTTACATCAAAAATAATTATTAATAGGTAATGACTTACTACTGCCATTTTGTTCATTGTTTTCTAGTTATTTTGTTGATTCTTTCTTCCTTTTTTTCTTTTTTTCTGTCTCCTTTATGACTAGATATTCTTCATTGGTATGCTTTGATACCCTACTTTTTGTCTTTTGTGTATCTATTATAGATTTTTGCTTTGTGTTTGCCATGAAATATCTGATATTTGCATAAAATATCCTATAACAAGCTATATAAGGCTGATAACAAATTAACAATGATGGTATTTAAAAACTCTATACTTTTATTCCATCCTTCTCTGCTTTATGATATTGATATCAGCATTTACATCTTTTCATATTATGTATTTTTAACAAATTATTGTAACTATTGTTATTTTAATAATTTTGTTTTTAATCTTCATATAGGATATATATATGATTTATACACCAACATTACTGTATTAGAGTATTCTGAATTTAACTGTGTACTTACTTGTACTAGTGAGTTTTATACTTTCATGTGCTTTTGTGTTACCAATTAGGATATTTTTCTTTCAGTTGGAAGGACTTTCTTTAGCATTTCTTGTAGGTCAGATCTGCTGGTGATGAACTCCCACAGCTTTTGTTTGTCCAGTAGTCTTTATCCCTCCTTCATTTCTGAGGGATAGCTTTGCTGAGTAAAATATTCTTTGTTGGCAGGCTTTTTTTTTCTTTAGGATTTTGAATATGTCATCTCACTCTCTCCTCGACTATAAGGTTTCTACTGAGAAAAATTCTGCTAGCCTTATTAAATATCCTTTATATGTGATCTGCTTTTTTTCTACTGCTGCTTTCAGCATCCTCTCTTTGTCTTTGAATTTTTACAGTTTGGTTATAATATGCCTTGTAGTTTTGCTTGGATTGATCCTCATTGAAGACTTTTGACTTTCCTATGTCTGGATATTTGTATTTTCTCCCAGATTTGGAATGTTTTCAGCTTGCTATGGTAATGGCTACAGTGTTTCGGGTAGGGGTAGATTCAGTGAAGCTAAAGAGCCCAGGACTAGGTGGCAGCACTTGTGAGACAGCTGTGGTTTGAGGATTGGGGAAGATGTTCAGGGTTGGAAGAGGTAGAGGTTTCTTTCTTGAAACAGCTCAACAGCAGCTTCTTCTTGTGAGGGTGAGAGTGGTGTATAGCTGTGTCTCTGTCTCTGGATTTCTCCAAGTAAAATGGCTGTTGGTTATTTCAGTGGCAAAGGATGCCAGTGTCCACTGCAGAGCAGGCTGCTGGGGACCACAGTATTTCCTGCTGCATGTATGATACAGATAGCCTCTACCTTTCTTCTTTGTTCATAACCAATTCCTGGCATCTCAAGTATGCCAATCTTGCCAGCAATCATTTCTGTGTGGATATTCTCCATTCTTTTGATCCACTGTCATTACAGATTATTTATTTGGCTTTTGAGCAGTTTCAGGGTTATTTTGGTTTGTGGATAGCTGTCTATATTTGTTTTCTTGTTGGGGAAATGAAGGTGGTATCTTCTCTGCCATCTTGGTGACGTCCTTCCAGCTCAGACTTCTATGATTTTCTTTTGCAAAATTATTTTAAAATAGTACTTGATAAAAGTTTGATGGTTTATTGAGGATGAGACCTTTGTCATATTCTACTTCTGTATATATCCCCCTTAGCACTCCCTAGCAGAGTACTGGTAGGTAGGATAGTTAAATCCAAGTGTTGGAAAGGGACCTAGACATTACCTCATTTTATGTTGCCATGTTCATGAGGTTTTCAAAAGTTTGATACTTTGCGAATGTCATTGAATAAGTTTTTGGTTGACTAAGCTATTTACTATCTCCTAAATTGAGAAGCTAGTGATTAGATTTTCAAATATCCCCACATGATGTGGCGGTAACTGTGTTTCTCATTCCCTACCTTCTTCCCTCCCTCTTTTCTTCCTTCTTTTCTATTTCAATATTCACATATTAAACTACATACTTGCATAAAAGCTCAAACTTTAGTGTTTAATGTAAAAACCGAAATCTTCCAGACTCCCTCCCCATAGGTAAATAATGTTAGCAGTTTTCTGAGTACTCCCCTACATGTTTTTATATCTTTTTCTATCTATCTATCTATCTATCTATCTATCTATCTATCTATCTATCTACCTACCTACCTACCTATCATCTATCTATCATCTTTCTATTTTTACATAAACACACATATACAAATATTCTATAATGTGTTTTCACCACCAAACAATTCACCATGAGCAAATTTTAAATCAGCATATTGAAATTTCAATATATTGAGGCATTTAAATCAATCTCCACATTGATAAACTTTTAGAAACTTTCCCCCTATTTAAAGCAATGTTGCAACATATTTGCCAGTTATGGCTACATTTTTAATGTCTGTTATTATACTGAACATTTAAAAAATAAAATTATATGCATACAAGCCCTTGAAAGCAGTGAAGAAAATGGTTCTGAGGGATGCTTATAAAAAAAGCATAGAGCCTAAAAATATTTATTGGGTACTATTAAGATTCATGAATAAGGTTTCGTTTAAAATAGAAATATGAAAGAATAGAAGTAAAACTAAGTAAGTTAGGATCATTCAAAACAGGTATTACTGAACAGAAAATGACCCAGTTACTAAAGGACAAAGTGCACCATGAAACTATAGTGTGGAGTATTCAAATTGCATGGAAGTAATAAACAGTCTGCAACTTACTGATAAAAGCTAGGATAAATAATTATAACAGTATAATATAAATATAAAGGAGGAGATAGGAATACTGAAAAAATTTGCCAACATATCCAAAGAAAATAGATTGACAATGTTTTTGTACGTTTATAACAATAGTTAATATTCATCAAATGGCAATGTGCCCAGCATTGTCCAAAAGGAAATGTAATGCTAGGTACAATTATGTTGTAGAGACCAATTGTCTTAAAATATCCTTTTCAAAAACAACAACAACCACTATAACGGAAGGTTGCCTTGATGATATAAGTGGACTGGAAACTCCTTGAAGGTAGCAGCTATGTCTAATTACATTTCCAGTTTCCAGAGGTATGGTTGGAAGTAGGTCCTTTTTTTCTACCAATGAATGGAGATTTACCAAGAATGTATTGACACACAAGATACAGTTAAATTACAAGCAATTTTAAATGGTTGCCTTCTATTCTCTCTAGACCCAATAAAGGAAGAAAGGGAAGAATCCATAGTTCAGTTAAGGTTTATAGTCCTTACCTCTCCAGATTGGATATAGGACATCTTATATGAAAAACAATGGTGGAGGGATTTTTTTTTTCTGATAGCTGACAGTTTCCAAGGTGATTGAGCCCTTTCATATCCAGTTGGGAGAGAAATAGAACCTCCACTAGGGATATATAGCAGCCACAGTAGATTCATTAGCTATTGCCCCAAGTTGTCATAAAGCGATAAAAATTGAGCCCTTATATTTACAGGGTCACTGGGGGAAGTCTTGACTATTAGTGACTTTTAATGAGAGTGCCCAGGCAATAAGAGGCTTGGCTGCCAGAGTAAAATTACTTACTAACGTCTTAAGCCATATAGCTAGAAGTCAAGCACAAAGTTTGATCTCAAACTTAACATCAGTGCTTAAATTCAAACTTCTGTATTTAAAACAAGTTGCGTTAGTGAGCTTTATATCTAAGGACCATACCTTAAATTAACTCATGGAAGAGTCTGATGACTAAATAAGGAAAATGACATTATGAAGTAACATTTACTTCAGGAAGCACAGGGCCCATAAAAGAAGTCTCAGGGATACCTTACTAAGATGTAATTCAAAACTGTTAGTTGCCTTCTCATATCAAGCAAACCACGGAACACATGAGAGACCGGTGGAGATTCAACTTTCTTATCTTATTCCACTCTTAAGGGAAGTATTTAATTTGTATATCCCGGATCCAATAATTGGAGATATGGTCCAAGAGAATGGGAAGGAAATCAACATTCTTTGAAGGACTTACTGTGTGTTAAACTAGCCCTTTTCTAGCCAGGAAAAATATATTACCACTTTTTAAAATCTGCATGAATCCTGTTTTCACATGATCCTGAATTATTTCTCATAATAACCTTAAATTGATCTCTCTACTTCTAAGTTCTAAATTCATTTCTTCTTCACTCTTACCCCCTTACCCTCATTCTTACCAACCATCCATTGTACCAAAACCAAATTAATCTTCTGAAACACTGTGTTTCGTTGGCTAGGCCTCTATTCCAAACATTTTAGTGTCTCACCAATCTTTTGTGTAATTAAGTCTGACCTTCTTAGCATTAATTTCAAGTACTTTGTACTTTGAAATCTATCTCCATCTTTACCCCCATATACCCACTTTACCTCAAAGTGAGGTAGTTGGCCTTCTCCACATGCACCCATACCCATTGAACCTTCCACCCTGTGGATGCCTTATTAGAGCCATTGAATGTTATTTAAAAATCTCATTACTGATTTCTAACACAGAATAATAATTAACCCTATCTCTTTTAAAGAGATTACCTGCTAATCAAATGAGAATATAGTGTTATTTTATTATGTATTTTATAAAAACATTGAAGCTTCATTTTTTATAAAAGAGAAAAAAACTCACTTCTTTTGGTTTCATAGCCTTAATAACACCAAAATGCTGACATCCCCCAACTTTATATCTCCAGCCTATCCTTTCTTCTGAGTTCAAGATTTACATTTCTACTGCCTCCTTAGCATCTTCACTTGGATCTAATAAGTATCTCAAACTGAACACAACCAAAACAAGATTTTGAGTTTCCTGTAAAAAATTTTATACCTGTCCTAGTGTTCTATAACTCAGGAAATTCTACTGCCTTCATTACAATTGCTCAGGGCAGATTGTCCAGTCATTTATAACTTTACTCTTTCCTTCACAGCCCACATACATCCATTGGCAAGTCCTGTCAGCAATTTGTTAAAAAGATATCTTGAATTTATTTAATTTTCTCTATTTCCACCTCTATTGTCTTTGTTTAAGCACTATCATTTTTCATCTGAACCACTACAAAAATCTCCTAGTCTCTCAGTGTGTTATGATCTGAATTGTGTTCCCCCAAAATTCATACATTGAAATTCTAATGCCTAGCATCTCAAAATGTGACTGAATTTGGAGATAGGGTCTTTAAAGAGGTAAATGAAAATGAGGTCGTTAGGGTAGGTTAATGACTAATATCCTTATAAGAAGAGGAGATAAGGACACGCACACAGAGGGAGTATCATGTGATGACACAGGGAAAAGGTAGCCATTTACAAACCAAGGAGAAAGTTCTCAGAAGAAACCATTTTTGCCAAAACCTTAATCTCAGCTTCTAGCTTCCAGAATTTTGAGAAAATAACTTTATGTTGTTTAAACCACCCATTTTGTGGCACTTTGTTACAGCAGGCCTAACAAACTAATACACTATATTTTATATTGCTGTGTAACAAATTACCACAAAATTAGCATCTTAATGTAACACCCATTTATTAGCTCACAGGTCTGTAAGTCAGAAGTCTGGCATGGTGTGACTGGGTTCTATGCTCAGGATATCACTCTGCTCAGGGTGTCACAAAGGAAGAAATTTAATTGTCAGCTGGACTGAGTTCTAGGAACTTCCAAACCTCAGAAAATCAATTTTCAAGCTGATCGTTGTTGTGAGCAGAATTCAGTTCCTTGCAGTTGTAAGACTGAGGTCCCAATTACCTTGCTGGCTGTCCACTAGAAATGCTCTCAAATCCTAGAGGCCACCTACTTTTCTTGCTCTGTGCTCTCTCCATCTTCAGGCCAGCAATGGTGCCTAACCCATGTGCCTGATGCTTTGAATCTCTCTTTCTCTTTGGCTACCAGTAAGAGAAAACTCTCTTACTGTTAAAGAACTCACCTGATTAGATCATCTTCACCTATATAATCTCTTTATTTAAAGTCAACTGATATGGGACCTTAATACATCTGCAAAATCCCTTCACAAAATTAACTAGGTTTGTGTTTGATTGAATAACTGAGAGGAGGTGCATCTACACCAGAGGTCTGGTGGTCCCAGCAATCTTAGGAGACTGTCTTAGAATTCTGTCTAGCACATACTGCTTTTTTTCTTGCTTTTTTATGATCCATTCAGCACATTTGTCCCCTAAGATTTTTTTAAAATGTAAATCATGTAGTGCTCCCTTGTTTAAAACACTCAAACAGTTTTCTATTGCACTGGGAATAAAATTCACCTTTCCCTCAACTGGGCATGGATTTTTCTGTTAGTAAATGAACTCAGATGGAGTTCCTTGATTTGCATTTGTAACAACTGCTTGACATTGAGATGGATGCTTCTTTAGAATCATCCACTGTCACACCCTGTATCCAACAAACTGAGTCTCATTTTTATCTATGATTTGCATATTAGTGACTCCTAAATTTATATCTATAGCCCCAACCTCCCTTCTGATTTCCAGTTTAATATATTTAATTGTCAGCTTGACACACCTAGTTAGATGTCTAATAGGCACCTCAAATTGAAAACATTTAAAACAGAGCTCTTATTTCCACATACCTTGGTATAGTTTGGATGTTTTCCCTGAGCAAATCTCATGTTTAATTGTAATCTCCAGTGTTGGAGGTGGGGCCTTGTGGGAGGTGATTGGGTCATGGGGACAGATTCTTAATTGGTGGTTTAGTACCATCCCCTTGTCCTTGTGAAAATGAGTGAGTTCTCATGAGATCTGGTCATTTAAACGTGTGTGTCATCTCCCCCATCTCTCTTTTGCTCCTGATTTCACCGTGTGAAGTTCCTGTTCCTGTTTTCCTTTCCACCATGTGTAAAAGTTCCCTGAGGCCTCCCTAGAAGCAGATGCCATCATGCTTCCTGTACAGTCTGCAGAACCACAAGTCAATTAACTCTTTTCTAAATTACCCAGTCTCAGGTATTTCTTTATAGCAACGCAAGAACAGCCTAACACAGAAAATTGGTACTGAGACATGTAGCATTGCTGTAAAAATACCTGAAAATGTGGAAGCAGCTTTGGAACTAGGTAGTGAGAAGAGGTTGGAAGAGTTTGGAAGGCTCATAACAAGATAGGAATATGAGGGAAAGTATAGAACTTTTTAGAGATAGTTAAATGGTTGTGACCAAATGCTGGTAGTGATATGAACAGTGAAGATGAGGTCTCAGGTGGAAATAAGGAACTTATTGGAAACTGGAGGAAATATCATGTGTGCTATGCCTTAGCAAAGAGCTTGACTGAATTGTGTTGGTGTCCTAGGGATATGTGGAAGTTTGAAGTTGAGAGTGATGATATAGAGTATCTGGCAGAAGAAATTTCTATGCAGCAAAGTGTTCAAGATGTGGTTGCTTCTAACAGCCTATGCTCAGATGTGGGAACAAAGAAATGACTTAAAGTTGGAACTTATATTTAAATGGGAAGCAGAGCATAAAAGTTTGGAAAATTTGCAGCCTGGCCATGTGGCAGAGAAAGAAAAAGCTTTTTTTGGGAGAGAAGCTCAAGCAGGCTATTGAACAACCACTTGTTACAGATATTTGCATAACAAGAAGAATCCAAGTGCTGATAAATAAGATAATGGGAAAAACACCTCAAAGGCATTTCAGAGACCTTCATGAAAGTTTCTCCCATTACAGGCCCCAAGGCTTAGTAGGAGAGAAGAATAGTTTTGTGGGCCAGATTCAGGGCCCTGCTGCCCTGTGCAACCTTGGGACACTGCTCCCCACATCTGGGTCACTCTGGCTCCAGCCTCAGCTCAGAGGGCTCTATATACAGCTTCGGCTGCTGCTTCAGAGGATGCAAGCTGTAAGACTTTTCAGATATCATGTGATATTAAGCCTGTGGGTGAACAGAGTGCAAGAGTTGAGGCATAGGAGCCTCTGCCTAGATTTCAGAGGATGTATGGAAAAACCTGAGTGCTCAGGCAGAAGCCGGCTGGAGGGACAGAGCCCTCATTGAGAACCTCTACTAGGGTAGCTCAAAGGAAAAATGTGAGGTTGGAACTGCCACACAAGAGTTCCTACCGGAACACTGCCTAGTGGAACTGTGAGAGACAGTCACCATCCTCCAGACCCCAAAATGGTAAATCCATCAACACCCTGCACCCTGCACCTGGAAAAAATGAATGCAGTCAATGCCAGCCTGTGAGAGTAGCTGCAGAGGCTGAACCCTGCAAGGGCACAGACAGAGCTGCACAAGGTCTTGAGAGTCCATTCCTCACACCAGTATTCCCTGGATGTGGGGCATGGAGTCAAAGAAGATTATTTTGGACATTTAATATATAATGACTGCCCTTCTTAGTTTCAGACTTGCATGGAGCCTGTAGCTCTTTTCTTTTAGCTGATTTCTCCTTTTTGAAATAGGAATTTTTATACACTGCTGGTAATCCCACTGTATCTTGTGAGCAAATAATTTGTTTTGATTTTATAGGCTTATAAGCAGAAGGAAATCATCTCCAGGTGAGACTGGGGACTTGGGACTTTTGTGTTAATGCTGAAATATGATGAGACTTTGGGGGACTATTGTGAAGGGAGTATTGTATTTTGCAACGGGAGAACATGAGATTTGGTGGAGGCCAGGGGCAGAATAATATAGTTTGGATGTTGTCCCTGCCCAAATCTCAAGTTGTAATATAATCCCTAGTGTTGGAGGTGGAGCCTGGTTGGAGGTGATTGGATCATAGGAGCAGTTTCTTCTGAATGGTTTAGTACCATATCCTTGTGCTTGCAATAATGAGTGAGTTCTCATGAGATCTGGGTCATTTAAAGGTGTGTGGCACCTCCCCCAACTCTCCCTTGCTCCCAGTTTTGCCATGTGAAGTGCCTACTCCCACTTTGCCTTCTGCCATGAGTAAAGGTCACTGAATCCTCCCCAGAAACTTAAGCCACAATGCTGCCTGTACAGCCTGCAGAACTGTAAGCCAACTAAAATTCTTTTCATATAAATTACCCACTCTCAGGTATTTTTTTACAGCAAGGCAAGAAAGCTTAATACACACCTCAGTAAAAGAATCTGTACTTCCCCAACAATGTATAGCCTTCTTTTTTAAATTTCCAACTTTTATTTTGAGTTCATGGATACATGCACAGGATGTGCAGGTTTGTTTAATAAATTAATTGATTAATTTTCTGTCTTTTCTTCATTAGTCCAGATAGTAGTCTATCAATTTTATTAATTTATTTTTTAAAAAGCTCCTGGATTCACTGATTTTTTTGAAGGGTTTTTCATGCCTCTATTTTCTTCAGCTCAGCTCTGATTTTGGTTATTTCTTGTCTTCTGCTAGCTTTGGGGTTTGTTTGCTCCTGATTCTCTAGTTCTTTTAGTTGTGATGTTAGGTTGTTAACTTGAGATCTTTCTAGCTTTTTCATCTGGGCATTTAATGCTATAAATTTCCCTCTCAACACTGCATTAGTTGCATCCCAGAGATTCTGATACATTGTATTTTTGTTCTCATTAGTTTCAAAGAACTTCTTGATTTCTGCCTTCATTTCTTTATTTACCCAAAAGTCATTCAGGAGCAGATTGTTCAATTTCCATGTAGTACTATGATGTTGAGTAAATTTATTAATATTGTGCTCTAGTTTGATTGCATTGTGGTCTGAGTGACTGTTGATTATAATTTTAGTTGTTTTGCATTTGCTGAGGATTGTGTTACTTCTGATTATGTGATCAATTATAAAGTAAGTGCCACGTGCTGATGAGAAGAATGTATATTCTGTTGTTTTTGGGTGGAGAGTTCTGTCCATATGTATCAGGTCCACTTGATCCAGAGCTGAGTTCAGGTCCTGAATATCTTTGTTAAGTTTCTGTCTCAATGATCTGCCAAATGTCATCAGTGAGGTGTTCAAGTCTCCCAATATTATTGCATGTGAGTCCAAGTCTCTTTGAAGGTTTCTAAGAACTTGCTTTATGAATCTGGGTACTCCTGTACTGGGTGAATGTATATTTAGAACAGTTAGCTCTTCTTGTTGAATTGAAGCCTTTACCATTATGTAATGCCCTTCTTTGTCTTTTTTTTTTTTTTTTTATCTTTGTTGGTTTAAAGTCTGTTTTGTCAGAAAGTAGCATTGAAACCCCTGGGTTTTTTTTTTTTCTGCTTTTCATTTGTTTGGTAAATTTTCCTCCATCCCTTTCTTTTGAGCCTATTCATATCTTTGGTGTGAGATGAGTCTCTTAAAGAACAGCATACCAATGGGTCTTGGTTCTTTATCCAGCTTGCCATTCTATGTGTTTTAATTGGGCCATTTAGCCCATTTACCTTTAAGGTTAGTATTATTATGTGTTGATTTGATCCTGTCTTCATGATGCTACCTGGTTATTATGTGGACTTGTTTATGTAGTTGCTTTATAGTGTCACTGGTCTGTGTACTTCACTGTGTTTTTCTAGTGGCTGTTAACCATTTTTTCCTTTCTTTATTTAGGGGGTCCTTTTGGAGCTCTTGTATGGCAGGACTGGTGGTAACAAATTCCCTCAGTATTTGCTTGTTTTAAAAGGATCTTTTTTCACCTTCACTTATGAAGCTTAGTTTGTTTGGACATGAAATTCTGGGTTGAAAATTCTTTCCTTTAAGGATGTTGAATATGAGCCATCAATCTCTTCTGGCTTGTAGGGCTTTTGTGGAGAGTTGCGCTGTTAGTCTGGTGGGCTTCTCTATGTAGATTTCCTGGCCTTTCTTTCTAGCTGTACTTAACATTTTTTCTTTCATGCCCACCTTGGAACATCTGAAGATCATGTGTCTTGTGGATGGTCATCTCAGGGAGTGTCTTACTGGTGTTCTCTGCATTTTCTGAAATTGAATGTTGACCTATCTATATTGGGACAGTTCTCCTGGATGATACCCTGAAATATGTTTTCCAAATTGGTTCCCTTCTCCCCATCTCTTTCAGGTACCACAATCAGTAATAGATTTAGTCTCTTTACATAATTCCATATTTCTCAGACATTTTTTTCATTCCTTTTCATTATTTTTCCTGTATTCTTGTCTGCCTCTCTTATTTCAGAAGACAGTTTTCAAGCTCTGAAATTCTTTACTCTGCTTGGTCTGTTCTGCTATTAATACTCGTGATTGCATTGTGTAGTTCTTGTAGTGTGTTTTTTAGCTTTATCAGGTCAGTTATGTTGCTCTCTATATTGGCTATTTTGTCTGTCAGCTCCAGCATTGTTTTACCCTGATTCTTAGCTTCTTTACACTGGGTTACAACGTGTTCCTTTAGCTCAATAAAGTTCATTTTTATCCACGTTCTGAAGCCTACTTCTGTCATTTCAGACATCTCAGCCTCCACTGAGTTCTGTACCCTTGCTTGAGCGGTGTTGCAGTCATTTGGAGGAAAGTGGGCACTCAGGCTTTTTAAGTTTTCAGCATTTTTGCCCTGATTCTTTCTCATCGTTTGTGCTTACCTACCCTGGATCTTTGAGGTTGCTGACCTTTGGATCAGTTTTGTTGTTGTTGTTGTTTGTTTGTTTATTTGTTTATTTTAATAGTCTGGCCAGTCTTCCATAGGGCTGCTGTGGTTTGCTGGGGTTCCACTCCAGACAATTTTTGCCTTGGTTTTTCCAGTACCTAGAGGTACACCAATAAAGGCTGTGAAACAGCAAAGATGGCAGCCTTCTTCTTCCTCTGGAAGCTGTGTCTCAGGAGCTACTTACTTGTTTCCAGCTCAAATGCACCCATAGGAGATGGCTGGAGGCCTAGGTTGGCAGGTCTCACCCAGTCAGGCAGAATGGGATCAGGGATTCACTTAAAGAAGCAGTCTGGCTGCTTTTCGGTAGAACAGCTATGCTGTGTGGAGGATTCCTTCAACCCCTGATCAGTTTGGGCTCCCCAAAGCCCACAGGCTGGACCAGCCAAGATGCCCAAGTAGCCAAGTGCTGACCCATTCCCCAACCCAGAGGATATCCCACAGTTCATCTCAGGGATATGTTGGAACTCTGAAAGTCATAATACACGGGTGGGGCTTGCTGGAAAACCCAGCTGGAAGGACTCACCCAGCAAGGAGGAATGGATCTGGGTTCCATTTAAAGCGGTCTGGCCATGCCTCTACAAAACAGCCATATCATGCTGGGGAACTGCCTCTGTCTCAGTTGACTTGGACTCTCCAAAGCCCATAGACTGGAGCTGCTGAGTCATCCAAACAGCAAAGATGGCAGCCTGTCCCTCCCCTTGGGCACTCAGTCCCAGGGAGAAATCAGAACTCTGTAGAATATGAGTAGGGGTAGCCAGAAGCCTTGGTTCAGAGGACCTACCCCATGAGGAGGAGTGGTTTGGGATCCCCCTTAAGAAGCAGTCTGTCCACATTCTGGCAAAGCAGCTGTGCTGCTCTTGGGTGATCCTTCTTCATCCAGACCATTTTGACTCTCCAAAGCCCACAGGCTGGAATGGCTAAGTCAACAAAGCATCAGAGATGGCAGCCTACCTCTCCTTCTAAGGGCTCCATCCCATCTCAGACAGGCTCCACCCTGCTGCTGATGTCTGGCTGGAATTCCAAACCAGTGGGTCTTATCTTGTAAGGTGCCCTGGAAGTGGGGCCCACAGACTGACGCTGTTCAGCCCCATGGATTAGGCACCCTTCCTATGGATATATATGGACCTCCCACTTTGCCTGAGTTGCAGTCACCTTTGTCAGGGATTCTGGGGTTGGAGCATGTAAAGCTTATGGGTGTCTGTGCATGCCTGAGCAGCTGGTCTACTGAGATTCCACATGGCTCTGTGTGGCGGACCCAAGGCCCTGGTGGCATGGGCTTATAAAGGGATCTCTTGATATGAGGGTCACAAAGATCCATGGGAGAAGCATGGCTTCCTGGGGTCACACATTCACTCACCACTTCCTTTGGCTGGGAGTGGGGGCTCCCTTGGTTACATGTCACTCCAGGGTGGGTTGTTGCTCCCCCCCTTTTCTTCATTCTCCATGGGTTGTTTCCCTGATCAGTCCCAATGCAAGTACCTGGATTTTTCAGTTGAAGTTGCTGTATTCACTCACCTATTTCTTTCCAGTGTGTGAGTGCCATGGACCACAGCTGCATTTAATTGGCCATCTTGGCCCCATCCTGTGGCACTACACATGCTTCTATCTTCAATACAGTTGCCCAAGGTACAAATTTAAGTCATTTTTTTAATTCCTCTTTCTTTCATAGTCCAAGACAATCATCAAGTCTTGTCAGCAATATCTATGAATTGTATCCTGCATGCATTCACTTCCCTTTTTCTCTGCTTCCACTGGTCTTGTCCAAGGCACCAACTTTTATCTAGATTAGTGCAACATCTCTTTAACTGGTTTCCCTGATTCCACTCTTGTCCCTGTAAAACCTAATCTCTATACAGCCAAAGGGGTTTTGTAAATAAATTAAACCATTTCCTCTTCATGTAAAATTATTCGATGGGTTCCCATTTTACCAATAATAAAATTTAAACTACTTACCACGTCTCTCACAACTTTAAGTGATCTGTTTCCTCTCTGCTTACTTTTCTAATGTTCTAGCCACGTTGGCCAAATTTGCTCTCATCTCAGGGTTCTTGCATTTGTTTTTTCAGCCTAGATCTTCTCATGTCTCTCTCTTTCTTAACATTTAGGTCTCAGCTCAAATGTCCCCTTGATCTTCACATGTAAAGTAGCCACCTCAACCCCACCCCCAGTCCCATCCTCAGTCACTCTCTGTATTAGTTTGTCTTCACACTGCTGATAAAGACACACCTGAGACTGGGAAGAAAAAGAGGTTTAATTGAACTTACAGTTCCACATGACTGGGGGGCGTGGGCCTCAGAATCATGGCAGGTGGCAAAAGTCAATCCTTACATGGCAGCGGCAAGAGAAAATGAGGAAGAACAAAAGTGGAAACCCCTGATAAACCCATCATATTCTGTGAGACTTATTCACTATCATGAAAATAGCATGGGAAAGACTGGCACCCATGGTTCAATTACCTCCACCTGAGTCCCTCCCACAATATGTGGCAATTATGAGAGATATAATTCAAGTTGAGATTTGGGTGGGGACACAGCCAAACCATATAATTCTGCCCCAGCCCCTCCAAATCTCATGCCTTCACGTTTCAAAACCAATTATGCCTTTCCAACAGTACCCCAAAGTCTTAACTCATTTCAGCATTAACCTAAAAGTCCGCAATCTGAAGTCTCATCTAAGACAGAGCAAGTCCCTTCTGCCTATGAACCTGTAAAATCAAAAGAAAGCAAGTTACTTCCTAGATACAATGGGGTACAGGTATTGGGTAAATACAGCCATTCCAAATGGGATAAATTGGCCAAGACAAAGGGATTACAGGGCCCATGCAAGTTCAAAATTCATCGAGGTAGTCAAATTTTAAAGCTCCAAAATGATCTCCTTTGATGCCAAGTCTTACACCCAGGTCACACTGATGCAAAAGGTAGGTTCCCATGATCTTGGACTGCTCTGCCCCTTTGGCTTTGCAGGGTGCAGCCTCTCCCCAGGCTTCTTTCATGGGCTGGCCTTGTCTGTGGCTTTTCCAGGTGCACGGTGCAAGCTGTCAGTGGATCTGCCATTCTAGGGTCTGGGGGATGGTGTACCTTTTCTCACAGCTCCACTAGGCAGTGCCCCATTAGAGACTCTGTGTGGGGGCAC
Organism: Homo sapiens; assembly: GCF_000001405.40. Taxonomy (NCBI): domain Eukaryota; kingdom Metazoa; phylum Chordata; class Mammalia; order Primates; family Hominidae; genus Homo; species Homo sapiens. Next base: position 85,443,139 of record NC_000023.11, read on the forward strand.
TTCCTTTCTGCACTTCCTTAGAAGACATTCTCCATGAGGGCACTGCCCCTGTAGCAACCTTTTGCCTGGGCATCCAGGCATTTCCATACAACTTCTGAAATCTAGGTAGAGGCTCCCAAACCTCAATTCTTGACTTCTGTGCACCCACAGGCTCGACACCACATGGAAGCTGCCAAGGCTTGGGGCTTCCACCCTCTGAAGCCACAGCCCAAGCTGTACATTGGCCCCTTTCAGCCATGGCTGGAGCAGCTGGAACACAGGGCACCAAGTCCCTAGGCTGCACACAGAATGGGGACCCTGGGCCTGGCCCACGAGGTTACTTTATCCTCCTGGGCCTCCAGGCCTGTGATGGGAGGGGCTGCCATGAAGGTCTCTGACATGGCCTGGAGACATTTTCTCCACAGTCTTGGGGATTAACATTAAGCTCCTTGCTACTAATGCTAATTTCTGCAGGCAGCTTGAATTTCTCCCCAGAAAATGGGGTTTTCTTTTCTATTGCATAATCAGGCTGCAAATTTTCCAAACTTTTATGCTCTGCTTCCCTTATAAAACTGAATGTCTGTAACAGCACCCAAGTCACCTCTTGAATGCTTTGTTGCTTAGAAATTTTTTCTGCCAGAAACCCTAAATCATCTCTCTCAAGTTTGAGTTCCCACAAATCTCTAGGGCAAGGCCAAAATTCTCCCAGTCTCTTTGCTAAAACATAAAAAGAGTGAACTTTGCTCCAGTTCCCAAAAAGTCTCCATCTGAGACCATCTTAGCCTGGATTTCACTGTCCATATTGCTTTCAGCATTTTAGGCAAAGCCATTCAACAAGTCTCCAGAAAGTTCCAAATTTTCCTACATTTTCCTGTCTTCTTCTGAGCCGTTCAAACTGTTCCAATCTCTTCCTGTTTCCCAGTTCCAAAGTTGCTTCCACATTTTGGGGTATCTTTTCAGCAATGCCCCACTCTACAGGTACAAATTTACTGTATCAGTCCGTTTTCATGCTCTTGATAAAGACATACCCGAGACTGGGAAGAAAAAGAGGTTTAATGGAACTTAGAGTTCCACATGGCTGGGTAGGCCTCAGAATCATGGTGGGAAGTGAAAGGCACTTCTTACATGGCGGTGGCAAGAGAAAATGGGGAGGAAGCAAAAGCAGAAATCCCTGATAAACTCATGAGATCTTGTGAGACTTATTCACTATCACAAGAAGAGTACAGGAAAGACTGGCCCATATGATTCAATTACCTCCCTCTGAATCCCTCCTACAACATATGGGAATTGTGGGAGACACAATTCAAGCTGAGATTTGGGTGGGGACACAGCCAAGCCATATCACTCTCTATTATATTACTCTGTATCATTTCTTTGGTATTATTTATGGCTATTTGAAATGATCTTATCTACTTGTTTCATGTCTTTCTCCTCCCACTAAATTTATAAGCTCTATGAGAAGAAGAACTTTGGCTGTCTGGTTCACTGAAGTATTTCCAGCACTTGAAACAGTGCAGAGCACAGAGTAATCACTCAACAAATGTTTGTTTGCTGAAAAAATAAATGAATGATGATTTGAGAGGCAATTTATGTCTCCACATTCCTGGGACTTCGTGATTTGGACTGTGTCCCTCTCTAAAGGCCGCTAGTCATTTTGCCCTGATTCTTCCTCCAGTCTCCACCTTGGACTAGTGTCAAGTCCCATTAGTCTTTGCACCTTGCCTCCTCCAGAATGAGAACTTCTGACATGCCAAATGGTCAGGGCTGACACTTTTTATGGCATAGGCTTTTTATGAGCTTGGTTAAGTGGCTACATTAACCCAAACCAATAAGGCATTTATTATCAGTGCATTGGATAAGACAAGTCTGATGGTAGTTCCTGTTCTCAAACAGAAGTTTCAATGAAGGGGGCATTTTATTGTGGTATTAAATATATACACATATTTTTTCAGCCAAAATGGTTTCTATTGATAAAGTAGAAATCCAGGACCGTTACTGAAAAAAAGACAGGGCAATGAGATTATTTTAGTACCGCAACCATAATTTTCTAGTAACTAGAAGCTATTGCAGACACAGCTGTCTCAGTAGAATCACTGGTAACCTTGTTATTTACCATCTTTTTGCTTTCAGGTAAGGACCAAAACAGAAAAGCTCTGTTTAGTTAAATGTCATAAACACTGTCATTTAAGAGCAATACATCTGGGTTTCCACATGCCCATAAGCACAGGTTTCCATCACCTATCCCCATTTTAATAACCCCCCATCTTAATGGCTGGAAAAGCACTAAATTCTAGATAGCAATTCTAATCATACACAGAAATATAAATTTGTCCTTTATAGAGGTGTTACAGATAATTAATTATTTAATGAAAGCACATCAAATAGTGTATAATGTCCTGAAATTTTGAGGCTATTATCTCACCTAAAGCTTGACTAGGAGTTAATATTGTTAGCAGGGAAGAATAATTAGGGAATTCATAACATTAATTATAGCTTGTAGTTTCATCATTTAAAAAGTCATTAGCTTAAGACTGTAAAGAAATGATGATTTTAAAATATCTTATTCAGATCCACTAACAGAAGTAAATATCAAGGTCATGTAAATAGCAATGAACTGTTTGCTTACTATTGTTTTTATTTTGTAGTAAAAATGACTATTTTCCTTTTGGCGTACAGTTCTATAAATTTTAACTCATGTATATTTGTGTAACTACCACAACAATCACAATACAGAACTTTTTCATCACTCCCAATAACTTCATTGTATTATCTCTTTATAGTCACACTCTCCCCCAACTCAAAACCCTGACAACCACTAATTTGTTTTATGTTCTCATAGTTTTATTTTTTCAAGAATGTTATATAAATAAAATCATACAATATGTAATCTTTTGAGACTTACTTCTTTCACCCAAGGTAGAGTTTTTAAGATTTACCTAAGTTGTTCTTTCTTTTTATTGTTGTATAGATCATTGTATGAATGGACCATAGTTTGTACAGCCATTTACTCATTGCAGTACATCAGGACTGTTTCCAGTTTCTGATGATTATAAGCAGAGCTGTTATAAACATTCTTGTACAGGTATTTATGTGAACATTAGTTTACATTTCTCCAGAATAAATACCCAGGAATATCTCAATTTAGGCCTACCATTTTATGACTCATTTTTTGTATCATCTATTTTTTTCTCTATCTGTTTCTCTGTTCTTGCCATGTTTTGGGTGATTTTGAGTAATTCTTGTTTTTTATTTTATTTTATCTATTATGATTCTGACTATATCTCTTTGTATTTTTTTGGTATTTACTTTAGGAATTTAAAAGTACTTATTTCATAGCCTACTTAGAATTAATATTTTACTACTTCAAGTGGAATGTAGAAACCTTACCATCATGCAGATCCTTTATACTTTCCCCTTTTTGTTGTAGTTCTATATATACATTACATAAATATCCATCAACAACCCCATCAGAAAAATACTATACTCTTTATTTTAAACAGTCAAACATATTTTAAAGGACTCAAAGGAGAAGAATATATTGTATTTACTCATCTTTACTCTTTACATTGTTCTTTCTATATGATGCTCTAAGTTTCTTTGTTTTATTATTTCTTTCTGTTTCAAGAACTTCCTTTAGCCATTCTTTTAGACCAGGTGTGCTGACTATGAATTCCCATAGTGTTTCTTCATCTGAGAAGATCTTTATTTTACTGTCATTTCTGAATGACATTTTAGTTGGATAGAAAATCATGGGTTGACTGCTCTTTTCTTTTATTTCAGAACTTGAAAAATATTTGTGCCACTTCTTTTAGGCCTCCATGGTTTTTGATGAGAAATCTACAGTCATTTAAATATTCCCTGACTATGCATAATGTATAATTTTTCTCTGACAGCTTTCTAGGTATCAGCAGTTTTATTGTGATATCTGGGAATAGATTTCTTCGGGTTTATGTTGCCTGAAGTTTGTTTAAGTTTTTGAATTTGTGGATTAATATCTTTCATCCAACTTAGTAAATTGTCAGCCATTATTTCTTCAGGTGATTTTTTCAGCACACACTCTTTTTCCACCATGTATTTCATAAGCCATATTATTACCATTTCAAGAGCAATTGATTATTTTCCCCACACGCTGTGGTTGCATGTTATAATCACCTGGGGAACTTTTAAAAACTATTATTAACCAGAAATTACTCCCAAAGATTCTTGTTTAATCAGTCTGGAAGAAGATCAGATGTTCATACATTATGTAAAAATAGTTTTATTGAGGCATACTTTACATAATAAAATTCACTCATTTGAATTGTACAATTTAGTAGTTTTTAATAAATTTACAGAGTTGTACAGCTATCACCAGTATCTAATTTTAGAACACTTCCATTAATTCCTCAAAAACCTCTTATCCATTTGCATTCATTTCCTATTTCTACTCACAGCCTCAGACAATGACCATTCTACTTTTCTCTATAGATTTTCTTTTTATTGAGGTGTAATTCTCATATCATGGAGTTTACTCATTTAAAGTATACAACTAAGTGACTTTTATTATATTCATGGAGTTGTGCAACCATCATAACTATCCAATTCCAGAACATTTTTATCACCCTAAAAAAAAAACCCTTACCTGTTTGTAGTCACTCTTCATTGCTTCCCCAGTCCCTGGCAACCACTAATCTACTTTCTGCATCTATGGATTTGCCTACTTGGACATTTCATACCAGTGGAATCTGACAAGCCTTTTGTGTTTGACTTCTTTCACTTGCCATATTTTCGAGGTTTACCACATTGCAGTTTATATGAATACTTCATTCCTTTTTATGGTTTAAAAATAATCCATTGCATGTATGTAACAACATTTTGTTTATCCATTCATCAACTGATGAAAAATTGGGTTGTTTCCACTTGGGGGCTGTTATGTGTAATGCTACTATAAACATTTGTATATGCATTTCTGTGTGAACATTTGTGTTTTTATTGTTCTTGAGTAGGGTCCTAGGGATGAAATTTCTGAATTATATGGTAATTCTATGTTTACATTTTTGAGGAGCCACCAAACTGCCTTCCAAAGTGGCTGCACCATTTTACATTCCCACCAGCAGTGTATGAGGGTTCCAATTTCCCAAAATTCTTGTCAACACTTGTTATTTTCTGTTTCTTTTTTTTTTGTATTATAGGCCATTCTAGTGGGTGTGAAGTAGTATCTCACTTTGGTTTTGATTTACAGTTCTCTATTGACTAGTGATGTTGAGCATCTTTTATCATAGCTATTTAAAGTTTCAGAAATCTGTCTTCTGTGCAACTAGAAGTCAAGAATCACTTATTTAGAAAATGTGGTTCCAGGATCTTAGGAAAACCATTGTGAGCTGCTGCATCCCTCAACTGTAGTTTATTTAGACCAGAGCCAAGGATCATCATGTATGATAATAACTGGATGAGTTGGGGCTGATAGATGCCTCCATAGACTAAGGATACCTGACAGATAAGGGGAAAAATGTGACTCCTTGACTTGCACTCTTTCAGAATGTTGACTTAATGGTGGAGGCACTGACTTTGAGAAAAGTGAAAGTCAAGGTGTTCAAACTTGGTTTGGAAACCAGGTGAAGGTAATGTGTGAAAAATGATTCTAAGTGCAATAATGTGGGTGCCAGTGAAGGCCATGTGATGGTAATAACTTCTGATCATGTCCTGGAAAACTATGATAAATCCCTAGAGCAAAGTGTCCTGTAACTCATCAAGAGGTAAATAAAATGAAAGAGCAGCACCCAACCCATGTTCTTAAGTTATACTAGAAACAGAAAGCATGAGGTTCTTCTGCTTCATGGCCCTGTAATAGAGCAGATAACAGGAGGAGGTTTTTTCCCTCACTTCAGTGTCATGACTGTTGAAATAATATCTTGGTTATCCATCTAAATGAGCCATAAGGAACAGTGTAGATGTATCAATAATCAGAAGAGGTGACTTAATGAGGGGTATTATAGAAGCGTCAAATGGCCAAGAAGCTGAGGTAGAGGTGGTAGACAGAATGGTGGGTATCAGCTGTAGAAATGGGCACTTGTGATTTGTGAGTACATGTAAAACACCTCAGAGTCTCCCTTAAGCCAGAAAGAAGATACTCTCAACACTAGATTTTTAGTGAATTAGACAGACTACTTTGTTACAAAGTCACAAAAGCTTACTCCAATGTAAGTAATAGTGGTTAGGTTATCCTAAGCTTACTCTAACTGAAGTAATAGTGGTTAGGTTATCCTATTGCAGTTCATTCAGGCAAGGCAAATAGCCCGCCAGTCAGTAAGACCTATTTTCCTTCTCTTTTCTTCTTTTCCCTTCCCTTCTTTTCTCAAATATACTGAGGTCAGTTTAAATTTGTTTTAACTGATGGCCTTTATCTTCCTGTTGCCTATTGGGTAAATTTTAATTTGTCTTTGCCTGATGATCTGTGTTCTTCTGGTGCCTATTAGGTAATTCTCAACCATACACATTACTCCAGACTACCTGCCTCTCTAAATCCTGGCTTTGACTATCATTTGTTCTAATTTTGAATGACCTTTTCTGGACCATTCTTTAAGAATGTCCACTGTTATAATTTTTAAAGAAGATATTGATAATATACTTCAGGGACATCATGAATAAAATTGGCTTTTGTGTGCTAACCTGGAAATCAAGTCACTATTTATGCCATTATTCTTATGAGGATGCACTGCTAATTCTAAAAACTGAGTAATAAGGGATGCTTTAGAACAATATTGTTCTAGGTTGAGGTTTTCCAATATGGAAAATATAAGAGTAAACAATAAAAATAAATCTGATGTAGGTTGGGCACGGTGGCTCACGCCTATAATCCCAGCACTTTGGGAGGCCGAGGCGGGTGGATCACAAGGTCAGGAGTCTGAGACCAGCCTGACCAACATGGTGAAACCCCATCTCTACAAAAATACAAAAATTAGCCTGGCGTGGTGGCACATGCCTGTAATCTCAGCTACTGAGGAGGCTGAGGTGTCAGAATCGCTTGAACCCGGGAGGCGGAGGTTACAGTGAGCTGAGATCGTGCCACTGCACTCCAGCCTGGGCGACAGAGAGAGACACCATCTCAAAAAAAAAAACCCAAAAAATCTGATGTAAATATTGCTGATGACCATGTGTCTGTCTAAGAAAATCAGAGACAACATTTTCAAATACAAAGGACAAACTTTCGGATAAAAATTTTTCTTTCTTTAGTTGATTTTAGTCCATCAGGATAAAAGCATACTTGGGTTGGTCTATGACATATTTGAAGTGAATAGGTATATTCTTGTGTATGTTTGGATTGGTTTAATCATTTCCATCCTGTTTTTCATGTTCTCTTTACAAAAAATCATGAGACTGTGCATCCTGTCTCATGATTGGTTGTGATTCACTTTTTGAATTCTTTGTTGACTCTTATTTTATTTTGTAGCCAAAGACATGCACCCCACTCTGAAGGAGCCTTACTTTTTACCCATTAGGAGATTGAGAACTTGGGACTATCCAATAAATGGAGACAGTGTTTAATACTATGTTTAATAATTTAATAAATAATATGGAAGAGAGAGTCCATGGTGAAATTACTCAACAGAAGAGGAAAGAGGTCCCAGGTGATTTCTTCAGTGACACACAGCTAGTTAGTAGCAGAGACATTGCTAAAACTGTGACATCTTGAACCTTAATTAAGGTTTTCTTACACAATACATTGCCTCTGTTCTTCCATATTTGTGAGAGATACTTAACCTCTATCTGGGTGGTGTATTGACAGGCCGATGGAGAAATCTTCAAAAAGTATCCCAAGGCTAAGAACATAGAGAAGTATTAATGAGTTTCATCATAACTAAGTTCAAATAAATGAATTTTCAGAAAAATTAACCAAAGTCTACAATGTTAGATATAATCCTGGTAAATAACTAAGAACTCATTATAGAGATGGACATAATCAAGAAAGGTATTAGACATTTTGTTCTAGATATGTACATTATGGTTTTGTATTAGAAGATGTTAATGTTTTGCAGTTTTTTCTAATACACTTCTTGATTATGGGTGTCTAAATTCCATCACTCTACCTCAAGGAAAATAGAAATGTTCAGAAAAAGTTAGGGGGAAAATAAAATAAAATAATCTAAAAAATAGATACTTCCATAGAAAAGTTTTCCAGCCTAGGAAAATATGAAGTGTGAAGACATAACAAAAATATTTATTACATTTTATGGGTTTAAAGTTTAGGTGAACATATTCTGTTAGAACTAGAAACTTGAAAGATGTAGCTTTATGATTCTTTTGCCAGAGATTTAATGCATTGAATAAATTATTTGTTAGCCCCATGTTACCTGTCATTGTTGCATTCTCCTCAGAGACCTTGGCACATGCATCAGAGACTTAAAAAGTAGACAGTCTTAAAGAACCACCATACTAATGAAAAGAGTAAAAGGAGGTGTACAAATATCATTTGGTGGGTCAGAAAGAGTAACAGACTTCCCTGATCTTCACATCAAACGCCTTCCCCAGGCTAGCACAATACATGATACGTGAGTAAAAACTTTATCGTGAGAAATATGCATTGTGTGGCTAAAACGATTAGGCTTATTGATGACTGAAAAAGATTCTCTCCTTGACCAAACTCTAGCCAGGGTCTTCTGAGTCTTACAAGGGCTTAACTTTAGTATATAAAGACTTGAATAAAACACTAACATTGTTATCAAGTCAAGGCCAAAGTCGTAGGATGTCTCCCCACCCATAAAGTGCCTGCCTGAGAAAACTGAAGATTGACCCCAAAATTTGCTGTTTGTCCTAGCCAACAACTGAGGGTAAGGCCTCTGTCTCCCAGTCTCTGTGAGAGGATAGAATCCTGACTTCCATCATAGCCAGCTAGCAGACACAGCTGGCCTAATTACATTTATACTGATTAACCCATCGTAACTCTTCACTTTCTTGACTCTACTGAGCCCCCTTTTATACTCCCTCACTATTCCCTCATTCTCCCTTTAAAATACTTAGTCACCTCTGTACAAATGGCAGTTGAGTTCAGTTCTCACTGAACTCTTTTCCCTTTTGTAATAGTTATTACTGATTTTCTTTCTCAAGAGGGGATATGGAAAACAAAACAAAACAACAACTACCCTTACTACTTTAACTGGTGTCCAGCTTTGTTTATCTTTGACATTACACAGATGCTACAGTGCTCTGCTTGTGTCGTTTATCTTATTAAAAATGTGAGTTTCACACTCTCACCAAACAAAGAGAGGTGTGATTTACATTAAATAGCTGCTTTCAGGTACTTTTGATAAATTCATCACATTTTCAACAGTCACAAAACTTTTACTTTGGGAAATTTAGCAGGTGTGTGTGGTGTATGCTCCTCTCTCCCCCTCTTTGCTTATGGTAAGAGCAATAAAATCTTATAAAAGCTGTCTTCCTCTTCTACTTTCTTGGTTATTTCAGTGGCAATGCAGGAAGAGGTTCATCAGGTGGCCTGGGGCTATTTTTCTGTTACGTGCCTTTAAATCTCCAGAGTGGGGAGGGAGGATCCAAGAGGGAAGAAAGTGAGGCTCTATAGTCACAGCTGCCTTTAAGTGCTAAAGATTTTAGGAAGGGCAGTAGAAGGAATTTTACTGACCAGCACAGCTAATCAGGGCAGGAAAACTGTGAGGGCTGGGACCAAAACCTCTGTCCAGGAACAGGTAGTGCATTTGGCAGAGCTGTAGCCAGTGATGCATTTCTTAGGAGCTGAAAGGAAGAAACCAGAGACAGGGTAGCAACCTGCCAGCAGACATATGGGAAAGCAAGTAGCTTTAACCCACCCTCTCTCCCCATTCCACCTAATGTCTTTTGGTACTTTCTCCATAGGAAAGGAAGGAGAGTTGGAGAATCATAAAGCTGGAGTAAGAGCTCTTCCAGGCATCTTCCATGCTCATACTTTTACTGATAAAAAGTATCAATTGTTATCTTTTTCCCCTTAATTTCTAAAATAATGCATGCTCACTGAAGAAAACCAGGAGAACATAAGAAAATAAAGAGGTAACATAAATCACCCATAATCCCACTACTTGAAGAAAAATATCATTTCAGTCTCTCTTTTATGCTTATGTATAGAGACTTATGAACAGATGGTATCATTTCTACAGACTGTCTTATTATTTGCTTTTTTGACTAGCAATGTTTCTTTCATAAATATTCCAATGCCAATATGTATTACACTTCAAGAAGATTTTAATAGCCATTTAATACACCTGTATCATACTTTAATCAACATGCTTTATTGTTAAACATTTCATAAACATATCTTTGATAAATATTTCTGTAAAGAAGTCTTTCTGTATTTCATAATTATGCTCTTAGAAAAAATTAATTGAAGTAGGTCTGTTGGCAGGTATTATTATTTTGAAAATATTTTTATTTGCATTTTGGAAGTGTACAAAATTGCACATCTACCATCAGTGTATAAGTGTGCCTGGTGCCTCACAGCACTTCCACCAGGAAAAAGAAACATAGGGCTGGGCGCAGTGGCTCACGCCTGTAATCCCAGCACTTTGGGAGGCCAAGGCAGGCGGATCATGAGGCCAGGGGTTCGAAACCAGCCTGGCCAATATGGTGAAACCCTGTCTCTACTAAAAAAATACAAAAATTAGCCGGGAGTTGTGGCGCGTGCCTGTAGTCCCAGCTACTCAGGAGGCTGAGGCAGGAGAATTGCTTGAACCGGAAGGCAGAGGTTGCTGTGAGCCGAGATCCCGCCACTGCACTCCAGCCTGGGCAACAGAGCGAGACTCAAAAAAAAAAAAAAAAAGAAAGAAAGAGGAAGAAACATAGATGTTCTTTTTTGAGGAGAATATATAGAATAATTGAACTGGACATTGTCAGGTGTAAGTACTACTAATAATAGCTACCATTTGTTAAATGTGTTTTATATAAAGTGTATCATTTCCTCTTAACTTTAAAAAAAAATTCTAAAGGAGAAAACAGATTAATAAAATACTAATATGCACAGATGTGTAGCGAAAAACATATATAGTAATCTATATATTACTGCTAATTACATGAGTTCATTAGGATAAATGGCCTAAGATGAAAGTTGAGTTTGGGGATTAATGCAGGAAAAGTTTCCTGTGTAAGTAATAGTCATTATTACTATCATCTTTACTTAAGCAGCTACAAGGCACATGGCATTGAATTAAGCACTTCATGTATTTTTTTTAATGGAAAAGGAAATAAATGACTACCTATTAATTTTTCTTCATGATGGCAGTTGCTGTATTTAGGTACCTCTGAAAGAATTCAATTCTAAAGATAGTATTTTTCTAGCCTTCTCCTTATTCCTAGTGCCCTATCTTTAGCATGATTTTATTAGCTTCTAAAAATCATTGCAAAGGCAATTATTTTGAAAGAGGTCAAGACCTATTTGATTCATTTCAGCACTCACACACAGATTAAAGGCACAAATGTAATCAAATGTTGTGCTTAGTCAGAAAGGGCTTGAAATAAATCTATTCTAAAAAATGAAATTCAACCTCACAGATGGATGAAAGGTGTTTTATATTTTAATTAGTGTTTCTGTTTGGTTTGAAAAAGGAAACTGACTGGAGGCTATTTTGGAATGTCTTGTCTGTAACAGTAGCATAGATGGAATACAATGACTGCCCACAAGGATATTGAAAAATTGAACACTGAGACATTATCTTTGACTCAGATACTATTAAAGTTAACACTAAAGGTCATTTAATTTCTTCTGCATGTCTAGGCATTTTCTTATTTCCCTAAATTCTGAACTAAGACACAATGTGTCTTCGAAGTTTAGAAAAGTTCCTGGAGCATAGCTCACCAAATTTCAAGAAACTGGCACATTCTTTAACTATTCAAAAGATTCACTAACACATACCTTGCATACAAAATAGCAAATAAATCTTTTAGTAAGCAACTAGCTGAGACACTAATTTTCAGGCTGAATTTCTAAGTGTATGAACTGGCTTTGCCCTACCAAATACTTTATTAGAAATTTGTTTTCAACCATTATGTTTTACCACATTAAGGAAAATTGCCAGACAAAACTTTAATCTGGAAATTAGATGGTGATTTGCCATACCCAGGCATGTTCTCAGCCAGTTTTTTCTAGGTTCCTGCAAACAGACACACGTCAGATGTTTATCTCATATAGATACAACCATAATTATTTGTTTTCTAAAAGGTCATGCCAAGTTTCTCTTTTTAAAGATTATCAGATCTCAGGTCTTAGCAAAGAAATCTTATGAAAGTAGAGCCTTAGATGGGAGGAGATAAAGCTGATTTTGTACTTAAGTAGTACAGTCAGCTCTCAAGTATTCACATTCATGGAAAAAATGATGTAGATTACAAAAAGAGCTTCCCTCCATTAGGGTAAATAACCTGGGATAAGACAATTTTAAGAAACTGGTGAGAAGAGTAAACCTTAGCCAATTGGATGCGGGACACTGCATCTGAGACCAAAAGGTGATGGGGTTCCTGGAAGTCAGAAAACAAGTAGTAGTAGTAGTAGTAGTAGTGTGTGTGTGTGTATTAGAAGGATTAAGATACCATGGTTTCAGTTTTCGCTGGTAGTTTTAGGCCAAATGGAATAGAACTATCTGCTATCCAGCTTTGGGACCACTTTCTCATTACATACTTCTTTATGTTCTCAGCATTAATTCTTATGGTGCATTTATTAATCCCATTACATTATTGATTGATTGGAACTCTTTTACCTTTGAATTAAGTACAATAATTTTTCAAATACAGGACATTATTTGCCACTTTAGAATTTGGAAAGGAAGATAATAGAGAAAAGAGAGACTAATATTATGTCTATGGAAACTGAATGCCCAAGAATTAACTTCTGTTTTTTTCTCAATTCTTGTAAAATTGTATCTCCATTGTCCCCAAATTCATCATTTTGATTCTGAAATGTTTAATTAATTCTTTTTTACTTTTAATTCATTAATTGCTCTTAAGTTTAGGCTCCTTCTAGTCTCCATTCATCATCAACTGTAAGATATTTAACTTCATTATGTCTCACCTCTTTTTTCTTGCTTGCTTTTGGGATGTTTTATGATATTTTATTGGACTGACTTCATATAACTTTGGTTGCTTATTTTTTACTTTGGTGACTTCTTTCTTCTCCAAAACTTCTATCTCCTATAAACATAGCACATTTTGATTTACAGTTGTTTACAGAATCTAATTTGTTTAATGTGTTTATGTGATTAGGTGACATTAGTCTTATGCTATCTTGATTGTAAATAAAAGTGAGAAATGATGACAATAAGTCTCAATACCAAAAAGAGCTGTTATATTGAGAATGTCCTTGTTTAGAATACATTTTTGTTCAGATAATTGCCAATGACATATTTATTTGTCTTTCACAGTAACAAACAAGACAGGACAGAAAAGAAACTGAGGATCAATACCAAAAATGAAACCATGTTACTGAAGTGAAGACAGAAGCAAAGCTCAAGATAGGAGAAATGATAGCAATATATCACTAAGTCTCTTTCTGCAGCTACAGCTCTCCAACTCAGACAAATTAAAACTAAGGGACTTGAAAGAATTTGCTGATTGAGTTGTGGAACCACTGTCAGTAACTTTAAACAAATTATGAAAGTCTGTAAAGATGTCAAAAAATTGGAGAGGTAGATTTCAGAAGTTGTAGGCAGGTAAGATTTAACCTCAATGCTTCTAAAAAGTCAAGAATGTAATATTGTAAATGGTTTGTGTATACTTAGAAGAGATCTGGGAGGCAGCAAAGGCCTGTTGGAAACAACTCATACCAAAGGAGTCTGATTTCCATTCTGGATGGGGTAACTTGGTAGGTAGAAAAAGGAATGCTCCAGATATTGCATCTCAACAAGTCATTTGACAAAGTGTCTCATAATACCTGAGTCAATAGGATGGGAAATGAGAGCTGAATACCAGAATTAGGTGGAATGAACAACAGAACCCAAACAGTGTTAATTTATGTTGCTCTGGAAAGAGTTATTGAATGTTGCGCTATAGAGCTCTGTTCATGATCCTGTTCTCTTTTGCAATTTTATTTTTTTTTAGATGAAGACACAGAAGGCAAGTTTATCATATATGTAAAAGGAAAAAGTTGGGAAAGGCAGTTAACATTCTGAATGATTAACTCAAAATTGTAAAAGATGTTGAATATTTATTTAGAACAAAATATAATTTTACAAAAATGCTAGAAAAATGGTGGGAACTTTTGTAAGAGCAGAGTTAAAAAAATAGACTAAGCATCCCCACCCAGAAAAAAGAAGAAAAATAAAAATGGCATGCAATGGATACGAAGAAACTTAATAGGTGCACATGTCAAGTTCTGTATTTAGTTTTGAAAATCAGAGACCTGAGACTTGATAGCACTTCATAGGGAAACAATCTAGGAATTTTACTGATGAGAAGCAGCCTTTGAATCAATTAATAAAACAAAATGAAACAAAACAAAAAAGCTAATGCAATCTTAGGTGGCACTAGTAAAAGCCTAGTATCCAGATCTGTAAAATCAGGGTAATAATAATAATAATACCTTCCTCATAAGATTTTTGCAAGTATTAAATGAGAAAATTCCTGTAAAACACTTAGGAGTGGTTTAAGTGTATGCATTCAATGAATATGTTATTATTACTAAAAAGATATATGATAGTCCTGCTTTACTTGTGCAAAATCACATCTAGAAGAGTATGTCCATGTAGGGGATAATGAGGAGGGTAGAAGTATCAGAACAAATGTGAGGACTAGAGAAAACTTGGATGGAGAAGATAAGATAATGGCAGTCTTCCAAAATATTAAGGGCTTGTAAAGAAGAATTAGATTTACCCTTCATGACTCTAAGCATTACCAATAGGAGAAATAAGCAAAATGCACAGAGACTTATTTTAGATCTATAAGAACAAATTTCCTAATAATCAGAGTTATTCAAAATTGAAATGGACTGTTCAGGAAGTGGTGAGTTTCTTGTCACTTGTGGTGTTTGGACAAAGGCCTGGCAGGAAACTCCATAAAGGGCATTCTTGCATGGGATGTATCTATGCATGAATCCATTTATTAAGATTGTTATGAAACAATTAGTTAACAGAAACCAGCCGTGGGTCAACAATCTGATAAACTCTAGTGGACATCTAAGGTTCTTTCCAACTCAATGACTGCATGATTTTGAAGAAACAGGTATAAGCTGTTCCTGACATGGGATTTTTTGATTTCATAATGGTGCAAAAGCAATATGCATTCAGTAGAAATGGTACGTAGAATTTTGAATTCTGGCCTTTTTCCAGACTAGCAACATGAAGTAGGATACTCCTGTGATGCTGGGCAGTGGCAGCCAGCCACAGCTCCCAATCAGTCACTCGATCATGAGAGTAAGCAACTGATCTGTAGGCTAATGTAAGCTTTCTTAACATGTTTAACATAGTCTAGGTTTGATAGTTTAGGTGTATTAAATGCATTGATTTTCAATATTTTCAACTTACAATGGGTTTACTGAGATGTAACCTTATTAAAAATCAAGGAATAACTGTATCTTCAGCTTCTAGAGAAGATTGCTAAGCACCATGTAGAGGTTATTTTTCTTAGAACTTACCTCTGCTTCTTACTCATAATAGCTCCTACATTGCTTACTGCAAAAGTAAACACCTGCTATACTATTCCATGCTCTGCCCTAGACACCAATGCCTCATGAATCACATCAAATACAAGTCTTTACCATCTGAGCAGCATGACTTTATTTATTTTTTTTCCTCAACTCATCTGCAATGCTAGAGGGGCTGTCCACAGCTTCCAATTCGGGCTTTGCTGCCACTGTGTGATGCTTCATGTTGAAGCAGCATTTTCTTTTCAATGTAAACATTTTTAGAAACACTGTGAGGAGATTTCAGTGTAACAAATGTACCAGAATAGCTGTGTCTAGCCTGCTGGGTGAAATCCTTTTTTGAAATAATGTTGGAACAAAGAAATTCATTCCCTGTAAATGGGGAGCTAGTTAGTAAATCATATAAACAGTATTCACACCCTGTGTTCCAGACGAGGTGCTCTCCCTGCTGCTGTCAGCAACATTTGCTGCCAAGTCCACTAACTACTTTACCCTGACCTTCAGTGGATAAACAATATAATCTTCCATGCTGCATCTCATTAGCATCTGCTAGTCAAGAAAAGCATGTCTGTTTCATAATTACATCACGAAAGCATCTTGCTGTATTAGAACAGCAAAGCATTTGAATTAGAAAATGCACTTGTCCAAGATTTCCAAGCCAGTATAAAAGAATTACAATTGCCATCATTTTACTTGTTATGTATGTCCGGTATAGAACATGGTCTGATGGTAGAGTGGGAAGAGAAGGTATAAACTGGTCACAATCTTCCATATTTATTTTAATGTTTTACACTCATCTTGATTTTGTCAAATGTATTATTTTTAAAATTTCTAACTTACCCTTTAAAAAAGAACATACAACAACATTTTAACTATTTTCCTTGGGAACAAAAAGTTTTCCCTTGCCCTTGTTGAATGACAATTTGTAAGTCTGTCCTAATAAATTTATCAAACTAGTTATACATTCATATCCATTTAGCAATATCTATAATGTCACCATTTCTAAAAGAGGCAGCAGTGTGAAAAGGTTATCAATTTATTTTTTAAATTATTTTTATTTTTAATTTTTGTGGGTACATGGTGTATATATTTATTGGGTACATGAGATGTTTTGATACAGGCATGCAATGTGAAATAATCACATCATGGAGAATGAAGTATGCATCTTCTCAAACGTTTATACTTTGTGTTACAAACAATCCAATTATACTCTTTTGTTGTTGAAAGGGTGGTGGGGGTTAGGGGGTGGGGATGGTTAATGGGTACAAAAAATAGACATAATTTATAGTCAAGGTTATCAATTTAGAAGAACTTAAGTCAACAAAGCAGAACTTCCTAATATGAAATCAAATGAGGTGGCTTAACATTGCCCCTTATTCTGTCATTTGTATGAAGGTCTAGATGATGCCATCATTCTACTTTAGGGGAAATATTAGGACGATATAATGGAGCTATCTTTGATGGGGGAGTGGAATGACTGGCATAATTTTGCCTCCTGGAGTGAATGGTAAACAAACAGAAAGGAAAATAGCCACAGCTACTTAGAACTTCATGGCCAAAAGGGATGAGAAAGATCAATGATTAAAAGGTTATAAAGTTGCATAGAACATAAGCAGAAGCATGTACTTTCTATCCATAGGAACTGTAGGATTAGCCAATGAGTTTTAAAATGGTGGTGGGTGAAATTTTTTCAAATGGGCCTTGATTCAAAACATTTAAAAAATGGGAACACTCACTTAAAAATGGGTGAAATACTTAAAGTAATTCACAAAATACATATAGCTAGAGTCTGGAAAAATTCATATGCACTAGAACTTAGAGG
Source organism: Homo sapiens (assembly GCF_000001405.40). Classification (NCBI taxonomy): domain Eukaryota; kingdom Metazoa; phylum Chordata; class Mammalia; order Primates; family Hominidae; genus Homo; species Homo sapiens. The sequence continues at coordinate 85,460,526 of NC_000023.11, forward strand.
TAAAAACTGAATAAAAAATGGGATATTGTTTATCACCTATGAACTTAATAAAAATGACAAAGAATGATAATACTTAGTATTGGTGATTGTGTTGACAAATGGGCATTCTAATTCACTGCTGGTGTATACATTTTCTGAAGAGCAAGCTGAAGGTCAATATACCAACATGCTAACTGACTTTTCTGAGAGGTGAAACTGTAAGTGATTTTACTTTACTTCTTTACATTTCCTGCAGCCCACAAATAATTTTTTTTAATTTTTAATTTTTGTGAGTACACAATAGGTGTGCATATTTATGAGGTACATGAGATATTTTGATACAGGTATATAACACATAATAATCATATCAGGGTAAATGGGGGTATCCATCACCTCAAGCAATTATCATGACTGTGTTACAAATATTCCGATAATACTGTTTTAGTTATATTTAGATGTACAATAAATTATTGTTTACTGTAATCACCTTGTTGTGCTTTCAAATACTAGATTGTATTCATTCTATCTAACTATATTTTTGTACCCATTAACCATTCCCACTTTCCTTCCCCCCGAGTACCCTTCTCAGCCTCTGGTAACCATCACTCTACTATCTACCTCCATGACTACAATTGTTTTAATTTTTAGCTCCCACATATGAGTGAAAACATATGAAGTTCGTCTTTCTGAGCCTGGATTATTTCACTTAACACAATGGCCTCCAGTTCCAAAAATATTGTTGCAAAAGACAGGATCTCATTCCTTTTTATGGCTGACTAGTACTCCATTGTCTATATAAACAATGTTTCCTTTATCCATTCATCTGTTGATCGATGCTTAGGTTGCTTCCTAATCTTGGCTATTGTGAATAGTGCTGCAATAAATAAGAGAAGACAGATAGCTCTTTGATATACTGATACCTACCAGTGGGGTTGTTGAATCATATGGTAGTTCTGTATTTAGGTATTTAAGGAACCTCCATACTGTTCTTCATATTGGTTGTACAAATTTACATTTCGAACAACAATGTGAGTGTTTCTTTTACTCTGTATCCTTACAAGCATTTGCTATTACCTGTCTTTTGGGTAGAAGCCATTTTAGAGCTTGGGGATGGAGTTTGATGGTAAAATAGAAGGCTCCACTCATTATCCCCCTCATAAGGACAACAATTTAAGTACTATCTACACAAAAATGGCCCCTTCATAAGAACCAAAAGTCAGGTGAGCACTCACAGTACTTGATTTTAGCTTTATGTTTCTGAAAGAGGCACTGAAGAGGTAGAAAAAAACGGTATTGAATCACTGACATCACCCACCCCCATCTCCCAGCAGTGGTGGTGTATTGCAGAAAGCATTTCTGTGCAACGGGGAGAGGGAGAGTGCAGCAATTGAATTCATTGAGTTCACTAAGCATTGAACTCAGTGATGCCCTGTTATAGCAGAAAATAAAACTGGATCAAACTCAGCAGATGCAAGCCCACAGAGGGAGAATTTAAACCAGCCCCAGCCAGAGGGGAATCACCAATCTCAGTGGTCTAAACTTTATTTCCAGCAAGCCTCACCACCATAGACTAAAGGGCTCTGGGACCCCAAATAAACTTGAAAGGCAGTCTAGGCCACAGGACTGGTACTCCTAGGTGAGTCCTAGTGCTGAACTGGATCCAGAGCCAATGGACTGGGAGGGGCACATGACCTACTGAAACATCAGCTGAAGTGACTACAAGAGGGCTGGTATCACTCCTCCTCTAACCCCAGGCTACACAGCTCACGGCTTCAACAGTGACCCCTTCCTCTGCTTGAGGAGGGAAGAGGTAAGAGTAGGGAGGATTTTGTCTTGCATTTTGGATACCAGCTTAGCCACAGTAGGATAGGGCACTACTCAGAGTTGTGAGACCCCCCAACCCTTTCCAAGTCCTAGCTCCCAGATAACACTTATAGACACACCTGGGACAGAAGGGAGACTGCTGTCTTGAAGGGAAGGACCCAGTCCTGGCAGGATTTATCACCTGCTATCTAAAGAACCCTTGAGTCCTGAATAATCAGCAGCAATACACAAGTACTACATCAAGTACCTTGGTTGAGACTCTGAGACTTGCTGGCTTCAGGTGAGACAGCACATTCCTAGCTGTGGTGGCTACAGGGCAGGACTCCTTTAGCCTGAGAAAAGTGGAGAGAAAAATAAAGGGGAGTTTGTCTTGCACCTTAGGTACGAACTTGGCCACAGGGATACAGAGCACCAAGTGGGATCTTAGGGTCTGTAATTCCAGGATGAGGCTCTTGGATGACATTTCTGAACCTGCTCTGGGCAAGAGGGGAGACCACTGTCCTATCTGACTGAAGTGCACTTGGGCCTCAAGGAAACATCAGAAGTAGTGTGGCAGTACTCCCCATGGGCCTGTGGTGGCAGTGGCCATGGGATAAGGCTCCTCTGCCGTTGCAGAGGGGAGGACAGAATCAGAATGGCTGTGTCTTGTCATTTGAGTGCCAGCTCAGCTGTAGTACAATAAAACATCAAGTAGGCTTCAAAGGTTTGTCTCTAGTCCCTGCCTCCCAGACCACACCTCTGGACCTGTATGGGACCTAGGGCAACTCGCCACCCTTAAGGGAAAAACACCGGCCTGGCTGGCTTCACAATCTGCTAAATGTGGAGTACCAGGGCCATGAGCAAATATAGGCCATAGCCAGTATGTTATTACAGCAGGCCCTTGGTTAGACCCAGTTCTGTGCTGGCTTCAGGTCTGACCAAGTGCAGTCATAGTGGTGATGGCCACAGGGGTGGTTGTGTCACTCCACCGCCAGCTGCAGGAAGCTAAGAACAGAGAGAGAGGGAGAGAGTCCATTGGTTTGGAGAAAGGGAGGGAAGTAAATAAGAGTCTCTGTCTGGTAATCCAGAGTATTCCTCTAGATCTTGTTCAAGACCATCAAGGTGGTGCCTCCATGAGTCTACAAGAATCACAACATTACTGGACTTGGGGTGACTCATAAAGTAGATACAGTTTAGATCACAACACCCAAGGTTTTAAGGTTTTTTGAATATCCAGAAAACCTTCCCAAGAAGGACAGATACAAACAAGCCCAGACTTGAGAAGTGGTGCGGTTTGGCTGCGTCCCCACCCAAATCTCATCTTGAATTGTAGTTACTATAATCCCCCCATGTCATGGGAGTGACATGGTGGGAGGTAATTGAATCATGGGAGTGGTTACCCTCATTCTGTTCTCATGATAGTGAGTGAGTTCTCACGAGGTCTGATGGTTTTATTACGGGCTTTTCCCCCTTTGCTTGGCACTTCTTTCTCCTACTGCCATGTGAAGAAGGATGTGTTTGCTTCCACTTCCACCATGACTGTAAATTTCCTGAGGCCTTCCTAGCCATGCAGAACTGTGAGTCAGTTAAACCTCTTTTCTTTATCAATTAGTCTCAGGTATTTCTTCATAGCAGCATGAGAACAGGCTAATACAACAAGACTATAATAAATATCTAACTCTTCAATGCCCATACACAGATAAACTTCTACAGATATCAAGACCATTCAGGAAAACCTAACCTCATCAAATGAGCTCAATAAGTCACCAGGAACATATCTTGGAGAAATAGAGATATGTGAACTTTCAGAGAAATAATTAAAACTAGTTGTTTTGAAAAAAACTCAAAGAAATTCAAGATAATGCAGAGAAGGAATATACAGTTCCATCAGACAAATTTAATAAAGAGATTACAATAATTTTTTAAAAAATCAAGCAGAAATTCTGGAGCTGAAAAATACAACTGGCATAATGAAGAATGCATCAGAGTCTCTTAACTGCAGAACTGATCAAGCAAAAGAAATATTTATTGAGCTTGAAGGCAGTCTATTTGAAAATACACAGAAGAGACAAAAGAAAAAAAGTATAAAAAACAGGGAAGAATGCCAACAGAATCTACAAATGGCCTCAAATGGTGAAACTAAGAGTTTTGGGCCTTAAAGTGAAGGTAGAAAAAGAAATAGGGGTAGAAAATTTATTCAAAATGATAATAACAGAGAACTTCCCAAACCTAGAGGAAGATATCAATATCCAAGTACAAGAAGGTTACAGAACACAAAGCAGATTTAACCCCAAGAAAACTTCCTCAAGGTGTTTATTAATTAAACTCTCAAAGGTCAAAGATAAAGAAAGAATCCTAGAATCATCCAGAGAAAAGAAACAAATAACATGCAATAGAGCTCCAATGCATCTGGCAGCAGACTTTTCAGCAAAAACCTTACAGGTCAAGAGAGAGTAGCATGACATATTTAATGCGCTGCAGGAAAAAATGATACCCTAGAATAGTATACCTGGTGAAAATATTCTTCAAACAAGAAGGAGAAATAAAGACTTTCCCAGACAAACAAAAGCTGGGAAATTTCATTAACACCAGACCTGTCCTAAAAGAAATGCTAAAGGGAGAACTTCAATCAGAAAGAAAAAGGTGTTAATAAGCAGTAAGAAATCATGTGAAAGTACAAAACACATTGGTAATAGCAAGTATACAGAAAAGCACAAAATATTATAACACAGTAATTATGATGTGTAAACTACACTTAAGTAGAAATACTGAACAATGAAACCATAAAAAAACTACAAAAGCTTTTCAAGACATAGACAGTACAATAAGATATAAGTAGAAACAACAAAACCTGAACAATTGAGAAGAACTTAAGAAGTATTTTTTTTTGCTTGTTTGTTTAGCAAACAGTGTTGTTATTGGATTAAGAAAACAGGTTATAAGATAATATTTATAAGCCTTATTGTAACTTGATTCACCATACAACAGACACAAAAAATTAAAAGCAAAAAACTAAATCATATCAGTAGAGAAAATCACCTTCACTGAAAAGAAGATGGAAGGAAAAAAGAGAAAACACAAAACAACGGAAAACATATAACAAAATGGTGGGAATAAGTCCTTACTTATCACTAATAACATTGACTGTAAATGAACTAAACTCTCCAATAAAAAGACATAGAGTGGCTGAATGCATTAAAAAAAATAAGACCCCATGATCTGTTGCCTACAAGAAACACAATTAACATATGAAGACACACACACAAAAACTGAAAATAAAACGAGATAAAAAGATATCTCACACGAATGGGAAAAAAGATAAGTAGTAGTATGCTTATATCAGACAAGATAGATTTAAAGACAAAAACTATAAGAAGAGACAAGGACCACCACTATATAATGATAAGGGGGTCAATTCAGCAAGAGGACAGAACAATTTTTAATATATATGCACCCAACACTGGAGCACCCAGATGTATAAAGCAAACAATTTTTAATATATAACATAACAATTTTTAATATATATGCACCCAACACTGGAGCACCCAGATATAAAGCAAATATTAGAGCTGAAGAGAGAGATAAGTCCCAATACAATAATATCTGGAGATTGCAACACCTCACTTTCAACACTGGACAGATCTTCCGACAGAAATTCAACAAGAAACAAACAGAAACTGCACTATGGACCAAATAGACCTAATAGATATTTATAGAACATTTCATACAATGGCTGCAGGGTACTCATTATTCTCCTCAGCACATAAATCATTCTCAAGGATAGACCATATGTTAGGCCACAAAACAAGTTTAAAAATATTGAAAAAATTAAAATAATATCAAGTATCTTCTCTGACCATAATGGAATTAAACTAAAAATCAATAACAAGGGGAATTTTGGAAACTATACAAATACATGGAAATTAAACAATATGCTCCTGAATGACCCCTGGGTCAATGAATAAATTAAGAAAGACATAGAAAAATTCTTTTAAACAAATGATAATGGAAACACAACATATTAAAACCTGTGGGATACAGCAAAAGCAGTACGAAGAGGCAATCATAATACTTTGTACATAGTACTTTTGCCTTACTATGTTGAAACATCTTAGAGAACTAGAAAATCAAAGCAAACCAAATGTGAAATCAGTAGGATATAAGAAATAAAGGACAGAAACAAAGGAATTAAAATAAAGAAAATAAAGGAACAGAAATAAAGGAATTGAAGTGATACAAGGGACATATCTTAATGTAATAAAAGCTATCTGACAAACCCACAGCCAACATAATACTGAATGAGGAAAAGTTGAAGGCATTCCCCCTAAGAACGAGAACAAGACAAGGATGCCCATTCTCACCACTCCTCTTCAACATAGTACTGGAAGTCTTAGCCAGAGCAATCAGACAAAAAGAGATAAAGGGCATCCAAATCAGTAAAGAGGAAGTCAAACTGTCCCTGTTTGCTGATGATATGATCGTTTACATTGAAAACCCCAAGGACTCCTCCAGAAAGCTCTTAGAACTGATTAAAAATTCAGCAAAGTTTCTGGATACAAGATTAATGTACACAGATCAGTAGATCTTCTATACACCAATAGTGACCAAGCAGAGAATCAAATCAAGAACTCAACCCCTTTCACAATAGCTGCAAAAATATATAAAATACTTATGAATATACCTAACAAAGGAATAAAAAGACATCTACAAGGAAAACTACAAAACACTGCTAAAAGAAATCATAAAATCATAGATGACACAAACAAATTGAAACACATCCCATGCTCATGAATGTGTAGAATCAATATTGCAAAAATGACCATACTGCCAAAAGCAATCTACAAATTCTAAGCAATCGATGGGATATATCGTATGAACAAAATGATGATGAAAACAATGTGATTATTTCAATTGATGCAAAAAACCATTTTATAAAATATAACATCCTTCATGATAAAAATGCTCAAAAAATTGGCTACAGAAGAAACATATGTCAACATAATAAAAGGCCATATATGATAGATAAGCAGCCAGTATCATAATGAATGGAAAGAAAATTAAATCTTTCCTTTAAGATCTGGAAAACAACAGAGATGCTCACTTTCACCACTGTTATTCAATGTAGAACTGGAAGTCTTATCTAGAGCAATCAGACAAGAGAAAGAAATGAAGGGCATCTAAGTTAGAAAGGAAAAAGTCAAATTATCCCTGTTTGCAGATACTATGATCTTATATTTGGAAAAACCTGAAGACTCCACAAACAACAACAACCAAAAACTATTAGAACTGATAAACAAATTCAGTAAAGTTCCAGGATTAAAAAAAACATACAAAAATCAGTAGCATTTCTATAGGCCAACACTGAACATCCTGAAAAAGAAATTGTAAAAGTAATCACATTTATAATAATTATAGATAAAATCAAGTACCTAAGAATTAACCAAAGAAGTGAAAGATCTCTATAATGAAAACTGTTAAATACTGATGAAAGCATTTGAAGAGGACACCAAAAAATGGAAAAATAACAAAACTGGAGAAATTACATTACCTGACTTTGAATTATACTATAGAGTTACAATAACCAAAACAGCATAGAACTGGCATAAAAACAGAAACATAGACCAATGGAACAGAATAGAGAACCCACAAACAAATGCACACACCTATAGTGAATTCAATTTCGACTAAGGTGCCAATAACATGTACTGGGGAAAAGACAGTCTCTTCAATAAATAGTGCTGGTAAAACTGGATATCCATATGCAGAAGAGACTAGACCCCATCCCTGGACACATACAAAAATCAAAACAAAAAGAATTAAAGCCTTAAATGGAAGATTTCAAACTACAAAACTACTAAAAGAGAACTTTGGGCAAACTCTCCAGGACATTGGACTGGGCAAAGGTTTCATGAGTAATACTTCACAAGCACAGGCAACCAAAGCAAAAATGGACAAATGGGATCACATCAAGTTAAATAGCATCTGCATAGCAAAGGATACAATCAACAAAGTGGAGAAACAACTCACAGAATAGGAGAAAATATTTGCAAACTACCCATCTGACAGGGAATTAATAGCGAGACTATAAAAGGAGCTCAAACAACTCTACAGGAAAAAAATCTAAAAATCCAATCAAAAAATGGGCCAAACATCTGAGGAGACATTTCCCAAAAGAAGCCATAAAATTTGCAAACAGGTATATGTAACAGGCAAATGTGCTCAACATCTTTGATTAGCAGAGAAATGCAAATCAAAACTACAATGAGATATCATCTCATCCCAGTTAAAACAGCTTATATACAAAAGACAGGCAATGACAAATTCTGGTGAGGATGTGGCAAAAAGGAAACCCTTGTACACTCTTGGTGGGAATGTAAATCAGTACAACCACTATGATGAAAAATTTCAGGTTCCTCAATAAACTAAAAATAGAGCTACCACATGACCCAGCAATCCCCCTGCTGGTTTTATGCCTGAAAGAAAGGACATTAGTATATTGAGGAGATATCTGCACTCCCATGTTTGTTGTAGCAATGTTCACAATAGCCAAGAATTGGAAGCCACATAAGTGCCCATCAGCAGATGAACACATAAAGAAAATATGGTACTTATACACAACAGAGTGCTACTCAACCATAAAAAAGAATGAGATTCTGTTATTTGCAACAACATGAATGGAACTGGAGGTCATTATGCTAAGCTAAATAAGCCTAGCACAGAAAAACAAACATAACATGTTCTCACTTATTTGTGGGATCTAACATTCAAAGCAATTGAACTTATGGAAATAGATGTAGAAAGATGGTTACCAGAGGCTGGGAAGGTTAATGGAGCAGTAGGGTGAGATGTGTACGGTTAATGGGTACCAATAATAGTTAGAATGAATGAATAAAGCCTAGTACTTGATAATACAACAGGATGACTGTAGTCAATAATAATTTAATTGTACATTTAAAAATATCTAAAAGAGTATAATTGAATTATTTGTAACACAATTGGTAAATGTTTGAGGAGATGGATACCTCATTTTACATGATATGATTATTAAGCATTACATGTTTATGTCAAAACATCTCACATATCCTATAAATATGTATACCTACTATGTGCCCACAGAAATTAAAATACAAATATTTAAAAGTCACTTTAACTGGGGTGAGATAATATCTCATTGTAGTTATGATTTGCATTGAGCACCCTTACATATGCCTGTTTGCCATTTGTATGCCTTCTTTTGAGAAAAATCTACTCAGGTGTTTGGCTCATTTTATTAGACTATAGAGATGTTTGAGCTCCTTATATATTCTGCTTATTAATCTCGTCAGATGCATACTTTGCAAATATTTTCTCCCATTCTGTGAGTTGACTCTTCACTTTGTTGATTGATTTCTTTGCTGTGCAGGAGCTTACTAAATTGATGTGATCCCATTTGTCCATTGTTGCTTCGGTTGCCTGTGCTTAGGGTATTGCTCAAAAATTTTTTCCCAGACCAACATCCTGGAGAGTTTCCCCAATGTTCTGTTTTAAAGTTTCATAGTTAGAGGAATTAGATTGAAGTCTTTAATCCATTTCAATTTGGTTTTTGTATAAGTTGAGACATAGGGGTCTAGTTTCATTCTCCTGCATATGGATATCCAGTTTTCCCAGTACGATTTATTGAAGAGACTGTCCTTTCCCCAGTGTATTTTCTTGGCACCTGATATGGTTTGGCTCTGTCCCCACCCAAATCTCATCTGGAATTCCCACATGTTGTCAGAGGGACCCAGTGAGAGGTAATTGAATCATGGGAACAGGTCTTTCCCATGCTGTTCTCATGATAGTGAATAAGTCTCATGAGATCTGATGGTTTTAAAAATGGGAGTTTCCCTGCACAAGCTCTCTCTCTTTTTGCCAGCTGCCATCCATGTAAGATGTTACCTGGACTCCTTGCCTTCTGTCATGATTGTGAGGCCTCCACAGCCATGTGGAACTGTAGGTCCATTAAACCCCTTTCTTTTGTTAATTGCTCAGTCTCAGGTATGTCTTTATCTGCAGCATGAATACAGACTAATACAGCACTTTTCTTAATAATGAGTTTACTGTATATGTGTGGATTTATTTTTGGGTTTTCTATTGTGTTCCATTGGTCTATGTGTCTGTTTTTATGTGAGGACCATGCTATTTTGTTTACTATAGCTTCATAGTATAATTTGAAGTCAGGTAATGTGATTCCTCCAGTTTTGTTCTTTTTGCTTAGGATAGCTTTGGCTATTCTGAATCTTTTGTGGTTCTGTATACATTTTAAGATTGTGTTTTCTATTTCTGTAAAGAATGTCATTGGTGTTTTGATAGGGATTGCATTGAATCTGTAGATTGCTTTGAGTAGTAAGAACATTTTTACAGTATTAAGTCTTCAGTCCATAAACATAAAATATGTTTTTGTTCCTTGTGTCCTCTTCAATTTCTTGAATCAATGTTTTATAGTTTTCATTATAGAGACCTTTCACTTCTTTGGTTAAGTTAATTCCTATATATTTTATTTTATTTGCAGCTACTGTGAATTGGATTACTCTTTTGATCCCTTTTAAGACTTTCGTATGTTAATTTTGTATCCTGCCACTTGACTGAATTTGCTTATCAGTTTGAATAGATTTTGGTGGAATCTTTAGGTTTTTCCAAATATAAGATCACAGCATCTGCAAACAAGGATAATTTGACTTCTCCTCAATTTGGATGCTCTTTGCATCTTTCTCTTGTCTGATGGCTCTGGCTAGGATGTCCAGTACTAGGTTGAATAACAGTGGTGAAAGTGGGCATCCTTGTCTTGTTCCAGGTCTTAGATGAAAGGCTTTCTGTTTTTCCCCATTCAGTTGTGATACTAACTATGGGTCTGTTGTATACAGCTTTTATTGTGTTTAGATACATTCCTTCTGTACCCAGTTTTTTGAGAGTTTTTGTCGTGAAAGGATGTTGAATTTTATCAATGCTTTTTTTGTATCAAATGAAATGATTATTATGGTTTTTGCCCTTCCTTCTGTTGGTATAATGTATCACATCAATTGATTTGTGTATGTTGTACCGTCCTTGCATCCCTGGGATAAATCCCACTTGGTCATGATGAATGATCTTTTTAATTTGTTGTTCAATTGATTTGCCAGTATTTCGTTGAAGATTTTTTGCATTAATGTTCATCAGGTTTATTGGTCTGTAATTGTCTTTTGTTGATGTGCCTTTTTTATGGTTTTTGTATCAGGGTAATACTGGCCTCATAGAATGAGTTTCGAAGTATTTTCTACTCCTCTATTTTTCAGAATAGTTTGAATAGGATTGGTATTAATTCTCCTTTAAAGTTTGGTAAAATTTGGTAGTTAAATCACTAAGTCCTGTGCTTTTCTTTGCTTGGAGATTTTTCATTATGACTTTGGTCATGTTACTTGCTATTACTCTGGTCAGGTTTTGGATTTCTTCATGGTTCAATCTTGATAGGTTATTTGTGTTTAGGAATTTATCCATTTCTTCTAGGTTTTCCAATGTATTTGCATGTAACTGCTCATAGTTGCCTCTAATAATCCTTTGAATTTCTGTGGTATCAGTTATAACATCTCTTTTTTTTCTGATTGTATTTATTTGGGTCTTTTCTCTTTTGTTTGGTAGTTTTTCTGGCTAAAGCTTTGTAGATTTTATCTTTTCAAAAAACTTCGTTTCATTGATCTTTTGTATTGTTTTCTTCATTACAACTTCATTTGTTTCATTTTAAAACTTTCATTTCTTTCTACTCTCACCTTTATTGTTACTTTTCTTTTACTAATTTTGCGGGGTTTTTGCTCTTGCTTTTCTCATTCTTAAATATGCATTGTTAGGTTGTTTATTTGAATTTTTTCCACTTTTTTGATGTAGACACTTATAGCTATATACTTTCCTCTTACTGCTGTTTCTGTTGTATCCCGTAGGTTTTGGTACATTTTGTTTCTGTTACCATTTGTTTCAAGACATTTTTGAATTGCTCTCTTAATTTCTTCTTTGGCCCACTGGTCATTCAAGAGCATATTGCTTAATTTCCATGTGCTCGAATAGTTTTCAAATCTTCCCTTGTTATTGATTTCTAATTTTATCTATTGTTGAGAATGAGACATGTGCCGAGGAGAAAAAATGTGTATTCTGCAACCCTTGGATGAAAAGTACAAATTCTAGTAATCCAATAAAAAATGAGCAAATCTGAATAGGCATTTCTCAAAGGAAGGCATAAAAGTGGCAAACAGGTATATGAAAAGGTGCTCAACATCATTGATTATCAGAGAATTGCAAATCAAAACTACAATGAGATATCACCTCACCCCAGCTAAAATGGCTTTTATTTAAAAGACAGGTAATAACAAATGCTGATAAGGATGTGGAGAAAAGGGAACCCTCATACACAGTTGGTAGGAATGTAAATTAAAATAGCCACTGTAAAGAAGAGTATGGAGGTTCCCTAAATAACTAAAATAGAACTACCATTTAATTCAGCAATCCCACTGCTAAGTATATAACCAAAAGCAAGGAAACCAGTATATCAAAGAGTTATCTGCACTCCCATGTTTATTGCAGCATTATTCACAGTAGTCAAGATTTGGAAGCAATCTACATGTCCATCAACAAATTAATGGATAAAGAAAGTGTGGTTCATATACACTATGCAGCACTATTCAGCCATTAAAAGGAATAGTATTCTGTCATTTGCAACAAAATAGGTGGAACTTGAGGCCATTATGTTAAGTAAAATAAGACAGGCACAGAAAAACAAACTTCTCATATCCTCACTCATTTGTAGGAATTAAAAATTAAAGCAGTTGAATTCATGGAGGTAGAGAGTAGAATGATGGTTACCAGAGGCTGGGAAAGGTAATGGAGGGGGTGTGAATGGGAAGTGGAGATGGTTAATGGGCACAAAAATATAGTCAGATAGGATGAATACAACCTGGTATTTGATAGCATATCAGGGTGGCTACAGTCAACAATAATTTATTGTGCATTTCAAAATAACTAAAAGAGTATAATTGGATTGTTTGTAACACAAAGAAATTATAAATCTAGAAGTAATAGATATTCCACTTACCCTGATGTGATTATTATGCATTATATCCTTGTATCAAAATAACTCATGTACCCCATATATATATTCAGCTACTATGAAAACCCATAAAAATAAAAAAGAAAAAAGAGAAAAAGGGTGAGTTCTGATAATAAGAAATACCTTCTGAATGCACCAATATGTTATATTCTTTCTTCCCAGGTTTTTTGGACTAAAAGTTTGGGTTTAGTGCCTTTTATTATCTTATGTATTAAGTATTATTTACCTAACTAGATGAAAACTTTTTGTGGGTAGCACTGTTGTGTCTGTATCAGTCATAGCCTTAAAGCAATATGTAGTACAAATTTACACCCAATGAATATTAATTGTACTTTAAACAGCCAAATTAATCTTCTTTCTCCCAAATCCAGTGCCCTACCGCTCCCCACCTGTGAACCTGGCAATACAGTCAGTGCCACTACATTATCCTATTCACTCAGTCTTAAAATTTTGGAGGTCCACTGAATTTTCTCTTTCACTTACTTTCAATATCTAATCACTGAGCCATTTAGACTCTTTGCAGTGTTTCATTATCCTTTTCAAATTCATAGTAATCATCATATTGAGAGCCCTAGCACTTCACTTGTGGACTACTCCAATTGCTTCCTAAATCTTCTTTGTGTGTATAAATCTATATGATACAACGCTCCCACACCAATCTTCCTACAGCAACATTTTACATGAGACACTACCTTGCTCAAAAAGCATTCAAGGAATTCCCTTTAACCAGGGGATAAAGTAAAAATTTCCCACTTTAGCATTTATAGTAATCTAGAACATAGCTCCAACCTATATGCCCTTATCTCCCTGTCTTCTCTAATAATAATAACAAAAAGAGCATTTATTTAGTGCTTATAGTGGGTCAGACACACACACACACACATATACATATATATATACATATACATATACATACACATACACATCCATATTTCCCTCAACCATACATACAATTCCCCTCAACAATCCTATGTGTTATGAGATAGTTACCGATATTATCCCATTTTACTGGTAAGGAAGCTCAAGATGACACTGTGAGAAAGTGATAGAATGTTTCACTCTTACTAGATGTTTCTATTCCCAGTCCCCTGAACATAACTCATGCATTCCTATCTTAGCATCTTTGCTCATTCCACATCTTCCACCCAAAATGACCACCCCTTTACTCTAACAAAACTTTGTTAGTCTTTTAGAATCAAGGTCAAGCTTTCTATGACCATTCCAGCACTAACTACTACTTTCTTCTTCATAGTCCTTTTTCATTCACAGTCCCATTGCACTTGTTCTTATAATTCATTTGGCACTTACTGTAGACTACCCTATGTTGTTATTCATTTGTGTATCTGTTTTTTATTCTTTCTGTCACCTTAACTAGATTGGAACCCCTTGAGGGCTAGAACCATGTCATATACTTTGATTTGCCCAGTACCTAGCACAGTGCCTGAGAAGAGTAGATCCTTAGTAAATGTTTATTGGTAATAATCATTAATTTATTCATTGAATATATACTAAACATCACATGCAAACAGGAAATAAATATATAAAGATAAATAGAATATTGTTTCCCCCACCTCAGGATCTCACATTTACAAGTTGCAAGTGATGCAATTTGTGCTATACCTATGAGATGTTATGGTAGTACAGAAGAGGAGGTGCTCATCTTTGACTAGAGAGATATGAGAAAGTTTCATCTAGTTGTCACATTTGAGTTTAGTCTTGAAACATAAATTCATCAGGTACACAAAAGATTTCCAAAAAGGAGAAATATCATATATGAAGTTGCTGAGGTGAAAAAAAATCATTGCACATTCTTGAACTGCAAATAGTTGAACATGACTAGAGTGCAGCGTATGTAGAAGTAGATAAGGAGGTGAACCTTGAAATATGAGGATGACATTATCAAGGGCCTTGTAGAATAGACAAAGGAAGTATGGTATTTATTTGGTAGCTAAACACTAAAATTTGTTTTTTTTTCTCTTTTTTTATTATTATTATACTTTAAGTTTTAGGGTACATGTGCACAATGTGCAGGTTTGTTGCATATGTATACATGTGCCATGCTGGTGTGCTGCACCCATTAACTCGTCATTTAGCATTAGGTCCATTCAGTTTGGCAATTGGAAGATCCACTCTGACCCTAGCAAAATAAATTTCAGTGAAGTGATAAAACAGAAGTCAAATCAAAGGGGGTTGAGGTGTAACTGGATAATAAGAGGCAATGGTGAATTTAAACTACCCTTTCCTCAAAATGGCTATAGGAAAAGTGAGACATTATATGGTAGATAAAGAGGATAAAGGATTGATGGGGAAACATTTTTGGAAAACTTGAGGTAGGCAATACATGATGGAGACTGGACTCTAAAGAGATGGGAGGATATCATGTACAGAGCATATACAAAGAGATTATTTAGAAATGAACAGGAAGAGTGAGCAAGAAGATGGAAAACAGGGAAAATTTGTATGGATATCTTAGTCTGTTTTGTTTTGATATGACAGAATATCTGAGGCTGGGTAATTATTTTTTAAACAGCAGACTTATTTGGCTCATAATTCTGGCGACTGAAAAATCCAACAGCAGGGCACTTGCATTTGGTTGGCTTCTGGTGAGGGCTTTCATGATGCATCATAACATGGCAGAAGGTCAAAGGGGAAGCAGGCACATGTGAAGGGGCAAAATACAAGGGACATCCTTGCTTTATAACAATCCACTTTTGTTGGAAGTAATCCATTTCTCCTGAGAACTAATCCAGTCTCTTGAGAATGAAAACACTACCTCAAGAATGGCACCAAGCCACTCATAAGGGTAGAGCTCCCATGACCCAAACATCTGCCATTAGGCCCCACCTCTTAAAGGTTCCACCTCACAACATTGCTGCTCTGGTGATTAAGGATCTAACATGAGTTTTTGTGGGGACACTCGAACCATAGCAATGGATATGGATAAGTTTATAAGTATGCAGTTATATGTTTAGGAATTCCAATTTGATGATTTGTGAAGTAGCAGGTGAGATAGTTTGCTGAGACTGAGGGCATGGGAGTCTCTAGGTGACTTGAAGAGAGAGAAAAAGAGAAGGATTGATCTGGTGGAAGTATAGTATATGATGATGGTGGATGATGCAATCTGGGCTGACTGATAAATGAAAGAAAGACAAAGGGGTCTGGTTACTTGATAGAAAAGCAAGTGGGGGTCAAAGGACTGAGATGTCAATAAGGTGAAATATTAGTGAAGCAGAAGGAAGGCAAAAAGAAAACTGAAAGGATTCGAGGCTATTATAGTCAGAGAGTGAAATAATAAAGTTTAAAATTTCAGTGGTCAAGCATTCTCAGGCCAAAAATGAGTTCATGGTTTGATCAGCAGATGGGGACATAATGAGGAAAGTTGGAAAATATGATATCTGGAAATCTAAGTAGATGCAAGACAATTGGCAGCTCTACCTTTAAATTGTATCTCAAATCAGACCATTTATCATCAGTTTTTCTACAGCCAGTTGGTCTAAGCCACTATTAGCTTTTACACTAGCCTCCTAATTGATCTCTCAAATTCTACTCATGCCCACTCCCTCCTACCCCAGGCACCTTCTCACACATTGGCCAGTATGTATATTAGATCAGATCATGTTCCTTCCCTCCTTTGCTCAAAAAGCTTCCCTCTTTGTTGGCTTCCTTAAAGTCCTTATGTAATTTGACCTCAACTTTTTGAGCCATTTTACCCAACACTTTTCCTGTCCTCATTGTGCTTCAGCTACACTGGGCTCGCTGGTATTCCAAGAGCACACACCAAGGGTGCCTTAGGCTTTAGGGCTCTTGGATTTTGGACTTGTTCCCTCTGCCTATAATGTAACCCCACCACCAACACTACAGATCTCTAACTTCATTCAAGTTGATGTTAAAATTTCATTCATGTCTATGGTAAAATTTCTTCTTTCCTTAACTATCCTACTTAAAAATGTAAGCCTCTGCCCTTCTCTACATCAACTTCGTGCATTGTTTTTCTTATAATTCTTTCACTAACAGAGATATTTTATATGTGTTTTTTTTTTAATTTTCCCTGCTCTACCTTCCACCTGGAATTTAAGCTCCATGGGAATAATGCCTTTGTCGGCCTTGTCTTGTGTTTTATCTCATAGCATCTAGAAAAAATTCTGACACAAAGTAGGACTCAAGACAAGTGCTAGAATACTTGGTGAAGGCTAAGCTCTGCTAAAAGTGCTGGAGCTACAAACACAAATAAGGTATGGTCCCTGCTATAAGCAGCAGAAACTGCCAGACTAAGGATCCAAGAGGAACATAGAGCCAAGTACACTGCCTAGAGAATGACAGAAAATGAAGTAAACAGTGGAAGCTTAACTGTGTAAGTCTTTCTTTTGCTCCCTTTTCTGGCCTGACAACATTTTTAAAGTCTGCGATTCTAGTTTCTCAAAGATCACCCTAAACAGATCTTTTAAAACATGTAAAATTCAGGGCCATGGCCTGGACAGTTGCCTTGCCATTCAATAATAGCAACAGGTAAAGGAAAGACAGATGGGTAATCAGATGATAAGAGTATTTCAAAATATTAGAAAATAATAACAAAAAATGCCTATGAGTTTGTACTTTATTTAAATATCATCTTTCCTTAAACAGTTAAAGCTGTAAAAAGTGCTCTTCAAACTTATATAAAATAATCTTTTTACAAGATTTCTTTAATCCTTCCAGTAGAATGACTTAACCTTTCAAAGGTCTTTGCCCTAAGGAGTATATCTGCATTCTTAGTGTTCTTTTATCTGCATTCATTTCCCAAGCAAAAGAAACAAACAAAATCCCAAAGAACCCTAGAGTTAATTGCACATGTTTGCAGTCATCTGCAAGTTTTCTATTTTCATTGACTTTTTTTTCTCTCAGGTTTTGCTTAAGACTGTGGAGCCTTATTATTTAAGACAGTAATTAAAGACTAAGCCATGGCTACTGAGCTAATAATTGTCAAAGAAATAAATCACTGGTACCTAGTGTTATTCCAGAATTTCTCAAGCTTTTAACCTTAATACCAACCACTTACCACCATCTTTCTAAGGAAAAAAAAAGCCCCTGGTGCAGAGATGCTGTGACATCCTTCCCAACCTCGGTTTCTTAAAATGCATCTGTTACCTTCTGGTATCTGTAGCTAAATCCCAAGATATTTTCATTTCAACACATGAGAGTACTTTCTGGTGAACTTTACTTTTTATTTTTGTAATTTGTGCTAGTGATATCTTTGGGTAAGTTCATAATTGTCTAAACTGTGACATGAGTGAGGAAGAATGGAGGCCAAGTTACTGGAGTAAATTTTCTTCCCCTAGGAAACTAGTTAGTTAAGTTTCAACTGAAGCCACTCTTAAGCACAACTGTGGAACAGCACTTAAAGTAAAGCATGCGCAGTAAAGGCAGAATGACAAAACAAAACAAAAATAACAAATGTACTGCTCACTTATTTCCTTGTTGTGACCTTAAAAACATGACAGTGTGAATACTTAAGTTAAATCTACACTGTATAACCCTAGTTTTAAGGTATTTATCAAAAGGAAAAAGAATCATGTCTCTTCATTAGTCCTAGTTTCCCAGCTTCTTCAGGAAACGCTGTATAAGCCCCACATTATCTTCAACTAAATCTTCATTTTCTTACCCTCCTTGGGTATTTTGTCAGTATGTTAATTTATATTAATTTATAGTCACTGTAAAAACCTCTAAATTTGTAAATATTGCTGTTTGTTCTGCAGATATATGTTGTGTAAATTCCATTATAGCTTTTTTTTGTTTTTGTTTTGTTTTGTTTTGTTTTTGAGACGGAGTCGCTCTCTGTCACCCAGGCTGGAGTGCAGTGGTGTAGTATCGGCTCACTACAACCTCTGCCTCCTGGGTTCAAGTGATTCTCCTGCCTCAGCCTCCTGAGTAGCTGGGATTACAGGCGTGCACCACCACGCCCAGCTAATTTTTGTATTTTTAGTAGAAACAAGTTTTCACCAATGTCGACCAGGCTGGTCTCGAACTCCTGACCTCATGTGATCCACCCACCTCGTCCTCCCAAAGTGCTGGGATCATAGGCATGAGACACCATGCCCGACCCCATTATAGGTTTCTCAATGGGCATTCAACAATACCAACAATAATAATATCATTTTATAGTTATTAACAATAATAAAAATATAAAAATATATTTTAGTACATACTTCATGGTTCTTAATCTAGTGTTTATCACAAAGTGGTTGCTTGATACATATTCTGACCTCACTTCCTGTGTCCTAGACTCATATATGCAACTGTCAACTTGAAAGTTCTGCTTGGACAGAGCTTATGCCTAATTATGTGCAAAATAGAACTCTTGATCCTTCCTGTCCCAAACAGACTCCTCCCCCATTTCTTCTCATTTCAATATATGTCACTATCATTCACTAAATTGATAGGGCCAAAAGCCAAGGAGACGTTTTTGACCCTTCTCTTTCGACAACACCTGTCAGTTTTACCTTCAAAGTTTATCTGAAATCAAAACACTTTCTCATATTCTCCATTACTATATCCAAGTAGTCCAAGCCACTATCAATTCTTGTCTAGACTTGTCTTGATACTTTCAGTATCACCAAACTGGCACCATACTTGTAGTTTTGACCCCCTACATTTTATCCCCCACACAGCAACTACATTGATCTTTGAAAAACACACACCGTATCATGCCACTCTCCTTCAAATACTCCAATGGATTCTCATTGCCCTGAGAACAAAATCTAAACTCATTTACTATGGTTTCTAAGACTTTACATTATTCAGGCTCTGTATTCCCCCCTCCACTCATTCTTCTCTAGCCATAGTGGCATTCTTACTATTCCAAGAACATAAAAACTCTGACTCACTTCTTTATACTCACTTTCCTTTATGTAGTGATGCTGTCTCCTCAGACTTTTGCCTGCATTGCTCTCTTTCTTCTTTCAGACTTCTGCTCAATTATTACCTCTTAAGAGAGGCCTTCCCTGACCACTATTTTTATTTTTTTGTTTTTACTTTTAATTATGAGAAACTTCAAATGCATACAAAATAGAGAGAATATTATGATAACCCTATATGTATTTAACACTCAGCCTAAACAATTATCAACTGATTGCCAATTTCGTTTCATCTGTATCGTCCTCTATTCCTCACCCATATGTAACCTCCTGAATTGTTTTGAAGTAAATCTCAGACAGCATATCTTTTCATCTGTAAATATATTAGTATGTATTTAAAAGTAAAAAGAAATCTTTAAAAATAGCCAAAATAGGCCGGGCACGGTGGCTCACGCCTGTAATCCCAGCACTTTGGGAGGCCAAGGCGGGCGGATTACCTGAGGTCAGGGGTTCAAGACCAGCCTGGCCAACATGGTGAAACCCCGTCTCTACTAAAAATACAAAAATTAGCCAGGCATGATAGCGGGCACTTGTAGTCCTAGCTACTCAGAAGACCGAGGCAGGAGAATTGCTTGAGCCTGGGAGGCAGAGGTTGCAGTGAGCCGAGATCATGCCACTGCACTCTAGCCTGGCCAACAGAGAGAGACTCTATCTAAAAAAAATAAATAAATAAAATTACAAAAAATAAAATTAAAAAAAACCCAAAATACCTTTATCACACCTAAAAGATTAACAATGATTCCTTATTTTTATCAAATATTTACTAAGTATTCACATTTCCCTTACTGTCTCATACATATTGACTTTTGAAAACAATTTTTCTTCTAATCAGGATGCAAATAAGGCAATGCATTGCAATTGACTGATATATCTCTTCTCTTAATCTATACATTACCCCCTTTCATTATTTTTATGTCCTAGCACTTTATTTGTTGAAGAAAGTGGATTGTTTGCACTGTGGTATTTTCAATCATCTGGGTTTTGCTGGTTCCATCACTGAGGTGTCATTTTACACATTCCCTATATTTCCAGTAAATAGATTGTTACATACAAAGACTTGATTGGGTTTAGATTTTATATTTTGTAAGACTATTACATGAGTTTTGCCATGTTCTTCCATTAAGACATACACGATGTCACAATGTCTAGCTACCTCTCTCTCTCTCCCTCCCTGTCTGTCTCTCTATTTTTCTGGAAAGCAGCCAATGATTATTTACTGGATGCATTATGGGGTTACCATGATGGCTACCTAATCTTAAATAGAAGCTTCACAGCATTCTCCATCACTCACAATTCCCTTAGCCTTTATTTTATTCATAGCAGTTCTAATTATCTGATAGAATATTATATCTATTTGTCTACTTGCTTATTATTAACTTCTGCCACAAGAATGTGAACTCCATGTAGGCAGAGGAGTTATTTTTGTTCTTTGTATCCAGCACCTAAAACAGCTTCTAGTGCATAATAAGTATTCAATAAATATGTACTGAATCGATTTGGATAAATATTATTTATTGAAAAGGGAAAAAAATGTATATGTCCAACATAGTAATAAGAGTCCTAGGAATGAAAACACTACATGAAAAATATGATTTTCAAGACCTCAAGAATCAAAATTGAGACATTAGCAGGAATGTTCCTTCACATACTTATTAATAAGACAATGCCAAGATGAAAGACCTACAGAGATGTACACACACAAATACTGCCCTAATTATTTTAAAAATCATTTTAAAATAAATTTACCATTTTATTTTTATTTGTACAAATAGCACATGCCCATTATAGAAAAGTTGAAAAATGCAAGTAAGAAAACATTTGTCACATTCTAACAGATCGCTTTTGCTCTCTCTTTTTCTGTTTGAATAGCATATTTTCTTAAAAGATGGAATTGTAGCATATATACTGTTGTGTAGGTTGCTTTTTTAAAATAATACAACATATTTTTAGCAATCTTATATCAAAATATGATATATCCTTCTACAATATTAATTTTAAGGAAGCACCTTAATTTATTTAACCAGTACCCTATTTTTGAACATTTATGTTGTATTCCCATTTTCTTTTTTTAATGAAATTTTTATTTTTTATTTTTTTAATTATACTTTAAGTTTTAGGGTATATGTGCACAATGTGCAGTTTAGTTATATATGTATACACGTGCCATGTTGGTGTGCTGCACCCACTAACTCGTCATTTAACATTAAGTATATCTCCTAATGCTATCCCTCCCCACTCCCCCAACCCCGCGACAGGCCCCGGTGTGTGATGTCCCCCTTCCTGTGTCCAAGTGTTCTCATTGTTAAATTCCCACATATGAGTGAGAACATGCGGTGTTTGCTTTTTTGTCCTTGCCCATTTTCATTATTATAAGTCATCTTCTGATTAATATTTTCAGTTAAATCTTTGTGTATATTCTTTAATTTATAAATGAACTTGAAAAAGAAAACAACTTCATTGAGATGTATTTTATATCACAATTTGCCTTTTTGACACATACAATTCAGTAGTTTTGCTATATTACTTATTGATTTTTTAAATTGTTGTAAAATATACCATAAAATTTGCTGTTTTAACCATTTTAAAGAGTATGATTTAGTTACATTAATTACATTCACAATGTTGTATAGCCATCAGTAGTATCTATTTTCAACATTTTATAACCCCAAACAGAAACTCAGTAACCTTTAAGCAATAATTTCCCATCACACTCTTCCCTCAGCCCTTGGTAATCTCTAATCTACTTTCTGCCTCTATGAATTTCTGTATTTTATAAATTTCATATAAGTGAAGTCATACAATATTTGTCCTTTTGTGATTGGCTTTTTAATTTGGCATATTGTTTTCAAGGTTCGCCCATTTATAGCTAGCATGTGCCAGAACTTCATTACTTTTATGGCTGAGTAATATTCCTTTGCATATACGTACCACATTTTGTTTATTCAGTCATCTCTTTTTAACTTTTAAGTTCAGGGGTACAAGTGCAGGTTTGCCACATAGGTAAACTTGTGTCATGGTGGTTTGTTGTACAGATTGTGTCATCACCCAGGTATTAAGCCTAGTATCCATTAGTTGTTTTTCCTGATCCACTCCCTCCTCCAACCTTCCACCCTCCAAAAGACCCCAGTGTGTGTTGTTCCCCTCTATGTGTCCATGTGTTCTCATCGTTTTGCTCCCACCTATACATGAGAATATGCAGTATTTGGTTTTCTGCTCCTGCGTTAGTTTGCTAAGAATAATGGCCTCCAGCTCCATCCATGTCCCTGAAAAGGACATGATCTTGTTCTTTTTTATGGCTGCATAGTATTTCATAGTGTATATGTACCACATTTCTTTACCTAGTCTATCACTGATGGGCATTTAAGTTGATTCCATGTCTTTGCTATTGTGAATGGTGCTGCAGTGAACATATGCATGCGTGTGTCTTTATGATAGAATGATTTATATTCCTTTGGGTATATACCCAGTAATGGGATTGCTGGGTCAAATATTTCTGTCTTTAGGTCTTCGAGGAATCACAACACTGTCTTGCACAATGGTTGAACTAATTTACACTTGCACCAATAGTGTATAAGCATTCCTTTTTCACCACAACTTTGCCAGCATCTGTTATTTTCTGTCTCTTTAATAGTAGCCATTCTGACTGGTGTTAGATGGAATCTCATTGTGATTTTGATTTGCATTTCTCTAATGATCAGTGATGTTGAGATATTTTTCCTATGCTTGTTGGCTGCATGTATGTCTTCTTTTGAAAAGCCTCTGTTCATGTCCTTTATCCACTTTTTATGTAGTTGTGTGTTCTTTTCTTATAAATTTAAGTTCCTTATAGATGCTGGATATTAGACCTTTGTAGAATGCATAGTTTACAAAAATTTTCTTGAATTCTGTAGTTTGTTTTTTCACTCTGTTGATAGTTTCTTTTGCTGTGCAGAAGCTCTTTAGCTTAACTAGATCCCATTTGCCAATTTTTGCTTTTGTTGCAATTGCTTTTGGTGTCTTCATCATGAAATCTTTGCCTGTGCCTATGTCCTGAATGGTATTGCCTAGGCTGTCTTCTAGGGTTTTTATAGTTTTGGGATTTACATTTTAAGTCTTTAATTAATTTTGAGTTAATTATTTTACATAATGTAAGGAAGTAGTCCATTTTCGATCTTATGCATATGGCTAGCCAGTTAACCCAGCACCATTTATTGACTAGGGAATCCTTTTCCCATTGCTTGTTTTTGTCAGGTTTGATGAAGATCAGATAGTGGTAGGTGTGCATTCTTATTTCTAGGTTCTCAATTCTGTCCCATTGGTCTATGTGTCTGTTCTTCTACTGGTACCATGTTGTTTTGGTTACTGTAGCCCTGTAGTATTTTTTGAAGTCAGTAGTGTGATGCCTCCAGCTTTGATCTTTTCACTTAGGATTGCCTTGGACGTTTGGGCTCTGTTTGATTCCATATAAATTTTAAAATAGTTTTTTCTAGTTCTGTGGAGAATGTCAATGGAAGTTTGATGGCAATAGCATTGAATCTATGAATTGCTTTGGGCAGTATAGCCATTCTAACTATATTGAATCTTCCTTTCTATGTGCATGGAATGTTTTTCCATTTGTCTGTGTCATCTGTGATTTCTTTGGGCAGTGGTATGTAGTTCCTCTTGCAGAGATCTTTCACCTCCCTAATTAACAGTATTCCTAGATATTTTATTCTTTTTGTGGCAACTGTGGATGGGAGTTCGTTTGTAATTTGGTGCTCGGTTTGACTGTTGTTGGTGTATAGGAATGCTAGCAATTTTTGCACATTGATTTAGTATCCTGAGACTTTGCTGAAGTTACTTATCAGCTTAAGAAGCTTTTGGGCTGAGACGATGGGGTTTTTTACATAAAAGATTACATCATCTACAACCAGGGATAGTTTGAATTCCTCTCTTTCTATTTGGATGCCTTTATTTATTTCTCTTGCCTGATTACCCTGGCAAGAACTTCCAATTCTATGCTGAATAGAAGGGATGAGAGAGGGCATCCTTGTAATGTGCCAGTTTTCAAGGGAAATGCTTCCAGCTTCTGACCATTCAGTATGATATTGGCTGTGGGTTTATCATACATGGCTCTTATTATTTTGAGGTATGTTACATCAATACGTAGTTTATTGAGAGTTTTTAACATGAAAGGATGTTGATTTCTATCAGAAGCCTTTTCTACATCTATTCAGATAATCATGTGGTTTTTGTCTTTAGTTCTGTTTATGTGTTAAATCACATTTATTGATTTGTATACATTGAATCAACCTTACATCCCAAAGATGAAGCCTACTTGATAATGGGGGATAAGCTTTTTAATGTGTTGCTGGATTAAGTTTTCCAGTATTTTGTTGAGAATTTTTGCGTTGATATTCATCAAGAATATCAGCCTGAAGTTTTATTTTATTTTTATTTTTTTGTATCTCTGCCCAGTTTTGGTATCAGTATGATGCTGGCCTCATAGAATGAGTTAGGGAGGAGTCCCTCCTTTTCAATTTTGTGGCATAGTTTCAGTAGGGATGGTACCAGCTCCTTTTTGTACACCTAGTAGAATTCAGCAGTGAATTCATCTGGTATGAGGCTTTTTTGATTGGCAGGCTATTTATTATTGCCTCAATTTCAGAACATTTTATCGGTCTGTTCAGGGATTAAATTTCTTCCTGGTTCAGTTTTGGGAGGGTGTATGTGTCCAGGGATTAATTCTTTTATTCTAGATTTTCTAGTTTATGTGCAAAAAGATGTTTATAATTTTCTCTGGTGGTTGTTTGTATTTCTGTGGGGTCAGTGGTAATATCTCCTTTATTGTTACTTAGTGTATTTATTTGAATTGATCTCTTTTCCTCTTTACTAATCTAGCTAGTTGTCAATCTATTTTATTATTTTTTCCAAAAAAAAAAAAACCCAGCTCCTGGATTCATTGGCCTTTTGAATGTTTTTTCTTGTCTCTATTTCCTTCAGTTTAGCTCCAATTTGGGTTATTTCTTGTCTTCTACTAGCTTTAAAGTTTGTTTGCTCTTGGTTCGCCAGTTCTTTAGTTGTGATGTTAGGTTGTTAACTTGAGATCTTTCTAACTTTTTGATGTGGTCATTTAGTGCTATAAATTCCTCTCTTAATTCTGCCTTAGCTGTGTCCCAGAGATTCTGGTACGTTGTATCTTTGTTCTCATTAGTTTCAAATAACTTCTTGATTTCTGCATTAATTTCATTATTTAACCAAGTCATTCAGGAGAAGGTTGTTCATTTTCCATGTAATAGTATGGTTTTGTGTGAAATTATTAATCTTGAGTTTTATTTGATTGCACTCTTGCCTGAGAAACTGTTATGATTTCAGTTGCTTTGCATTTGCTGAGGATTGTTTTACTTCCGATTATGTGATCAGTTTTAGAGTACGTGCCATGTGGCAGTAAGAAGAATGTATATTCTGGTGTTTTGGGGTGGAGAGTTCTGTAGATATTTATCTGTTCCATTTGATACCATGCTGAATATCTTTGTTAATTTTCAGGTTCTGAATATCTTTGTTAATTTTCTTTCTCAATGATTTGTCTAATATTGTCAGTGGGGTGTTAAAGTCTCCCACTATTATTGTGTGGGAGTCTAGGTCTCTTTGAAAATCTCTAAAATCTTTCTTTATGAATCTGAGTCTTCCTGTGTTGAGTAAATATATATTTACGACAGTTAGATCTTCTTGCTGAATTGAACACTTTACCATTATGCCCTTCTCTGTCTTTTTTGATTTTTATTGGTTTAAAGTCTGTTTTTTCAGAAACTAGGATTGCAACCTCTTCTTTTTTGTTGTTGTTTTGTTTTCCATTTGCTTGGTAGATTTTCCTCCAACCCTTTGCTTTGAGCCTATGTGCCACTGCAGGTGAGGTGGGCGTCTTGAAGACAGCATATCAATGGGTCTTGGTAATTTATTCAATTTACCACTCTTTCTTTTAAATGGGGGTATTTAGCACATTTACCTTTAAGGTTAGTATTGATATGTGTGGATTTGATCCTGTCATCATGATGTTAGCTGATAATTTTGCAGAACTGTTTATGTGGTTGCTTTATAGTGTCACTGGTCTGTGTACTTCAGTGTGTTTTTGTAGTCGCTGTTAACAGTCTTTTCTTTCCATATTAAGTGCTTTCTTTAGGAGCTCTTGTTAGGAAGGTCTGGTGGAAATGAACTCCCTTGGCATTTGCCAGTCTGAAAATGATGTTATTTCTTCTTTGATGAAACTTAGTTTTGGCCACATATGAAATTCTGGGTTGGAATTTCTTTCTTTCTTTCTTTCTTTTTTTTTTTTTAAAGAATGTTGAATGTTGGCTTCAAATCTCTTATGGCTTGCAAGGTTTCTGCTAAGAGGTCCACTCTTAGTCTGATGGGCTTCCCTTTGTAAATGACCTGACCTTTCTCTCCAGCTGCCTTAACATTTTTTCTTTCATTTTGACCTTAGAAAATCTGATGATTACATTTCTTGGAGATGATCTTCTCGTGGAGGATCTTATTGGGGCTCTCTGCATTTTCTGAATTTGAATGTTGGCCTGCTATCTAGGTTGGGCAAGTTCTCATGTATGATATCCTGAAACATGTTTTCCAAATTGATTCCATTCTCCCCATCTCTTTCAGGTACCCCAACCAGTCA
Source organism: Homo sapiens (assembly GCF_000001405.40). NCBI lineage: Eukaryota > Metazoa > Chordata > Mammalia > Primates > Hominidae > Homo > Homo sapiens. The sequence goes on from NC_000023.11 coordinate 85,487,917, forward strand.
TAGATTTGGTCTCTTGACATAATCCCATGTTTTCTGGAGTTTTTGTTCACTCCTTTTTATTCTTTTTTCTCTATTCTTGTCTACCTGTCTTATTTTAGAAAGACAGTATTCAAGCTCTGAGATTCTTTCCTCTGCTTGGTCTATTCTGCTATTATACTTGTGATTGCATTATGAAATTCTTGTAGTTTTTTTTTTTTTTTTCAGTTCTATCAGGTCAGTTACATTCTTCTTTATACTGGCTATTTTGTCTGTCAGATCCTGCAATGTTCTATCATTATTTTTAGCTTCCTTGCATTGGGTTGCAATGTGCTCCTTCAGCTCAGTGAAGTTTATTTTTATCCACATTCTGAATTCTACTTCTCTCATTTCAGCCATTTCAGCCTCAGCTCAGTTCCAAACCCATGCTAGAGATGTGATGCAATCATTTAGAGGCAAGAGGGCACTCTGGCTTTTTGAATTTTCTGTGCTCTTCTCCTGATTCATGCTCATCTTTTTGGGCATATTTACCTTCAATCTTTGAGGTTGCTGACCCTTGAATGGTTGGATTTTTTTTTTTCTTAATCTGGCTACTCTTCCATAGGGCTGGTACAGTTTTCTGGGGGTCCACTCCAGTACCTAGTCACCTGAGATTTTCCAGTACCTGGAGGTATTCCCAGTAAAGGCTGTGAAACAGCAAATATGGCAGCCTGCCTGTCTCTCTGGGAGCTCTGTCCCAGGGAAGTATGGACCTGTTGCCAGCCTGAATGCAGGAGGTGGCTAGAGACCCTGGTTGGGAGGTCTCACCCATTCAGGAGGAACGGTATTGGGGACCTGCTTAAAAAAGCAGTCTGGCCACAATTTTGTACAGCACTGTACTTATGCTGGGGTATTTTTTCTGTCCCTGGTTGGGTTGGGCTCTCCACAAGGTGGAGGTGGGACCGCTAAGTTGCCCAAATGGCAATAATTCTTGCCCACCCCTTCTTCTGGGAGCTCTGACCCAGGAAGTTCTCAAATCTCTGTCAGCCAGAAAACACTGGTGGGTGTGGCTGGAGGCCCTGGTTGGGAGGTTCTGCCCAGTGAGGGGCTATGGATCAGGGATCCACTTAAAGAAGCTATCTGGCCACATTTTTGTAGAGCAGCTGAGCTATGCTGGGGGATCCCTTCTGCCTCCTATTGACTTCGACTCTCCAAAGCCCACAGGCTGGAATGGTTGAGTCACCCAAACGGCAAAGATGGAGGCTCGTCCCATGCCCCAGGAACTCCATCCCAGGCAGGTGCAACACTGTTGGTGGTGGATGGCTGGAATTCCAAGCCAGTGGGTCTTATCCTGTGAGGCACTGTGGAAGTGGGGCCTGCAGGCCATCATTGTTCATCTCTTGGATGAACATTGTTCAGCCTCTTTTCTAGGGGTATGTATGGAGGTGTCACCTCCCACTTTGCCGGAGTTGCAGTTACTTTTGCCAGGAAGCCCAGAGCTGGAGTATGTAAACCTCCTAAATCTCCACGTGTGCCTGAGTAGCAGCTCTACTAAAGCTCCACATAGCTCTGTGTGTCAGACTGAAGGCCCTGGTGGGGGGGTTCATGAGGGAATCTCCTGACCCAAGGGTTGCAAAGGTCAATGGGAAAAGCATGGTTTCCCAAGGTCACACATTCACTCACCACTTCCCTGGGTTGGGGAAGCCCCCTTGGCTTCATGTCACTCCCTGGTGGGGCATTATTTTGCCTTGCTTTTCTCCATTTTCTTTGGGTTAAATTGTTTTCCTTGATTAGTCCCAATGCAAGTAACTGAATGTTTCAGTTGAAGGTTCTGTATTTACTCACCCCTTTCATTCCTTTCCATGAGAGCCACACACCACAGCTGCTTCTAGTCAGCCATCTTTGGAGAACTCCCTCTTGTACATATTCTTAATCATCCTCCTAGACCAAAGGTTGGCAAAATTATTCTGTAGATGGCCAGATAATAAATATTTAAGGCTTTGAAGGCCATACAGTCTCTGTAACAACTACTCAGCTGAGCTGTTAAAATGTAAAAGCAGTCACAATGTGTAAATGAATTAGCATGGCTGTATCACAATAACATTTATTTACAAAACAGGAAGAGGGTAGGATCTAGCATGCAGGCCATAGCTTGCTGAACCCTGCCCTCTAATAAATTCCTAGAAAGCTAATTGATAAGGTAAGAAATATATGTGTTTAAGGATTTTGATATATATTACATCATAGGCATTCAGAAAAAAGGTACCCATTTACACTCTTTCTGGTGATGAATGCGATCACCTGTTTTCCCATGTCATGATAATTTTTAAAGAGATAGGACCACAAGACCCAAGGAAAACTATCCCCCCCCCAACTTAAAAAAATTAGACCACTACAATCTGAGCCTGGAATCTTGTAACAGTTTTCCTTATGAAGATTCAAAATTGCCTATCTAGAATTGTGGTGAAAGTATCATTATTAAACATAAAGTGTTATCAATAGAATTTGTGGTATTTGACATGCCCAAGCCAGCCATGGAAACATCTTAAGCAGTCATTTAGAGCTGACCTCCTAAGGTTGGCAGGTGGTGCTAAAGAAAAGATTTTGGGGAGTGTCAGAGCTATGGTAAATATAAATGCCTCCTCTGCCAACGCACACACACATACATGGTGGCTCATTCCTGTAATCCCAGCACTTTGGGAGGCCAAGGCAGGTGGATCACCTGAGGTCAGGAGTTCGAGAGCAGCCTGGCCAACATGGTGAAACCCCGTCTCTACTAAAAATACAAAAATCAGCCGGGCATGGTGGCAGGCACCTGTAATCCCAGCTACTCGGGAGGCTGAGGCTGGAGAATCGCTTGAACCCGGGAGGTGGAGGTTATAATGAGTGGAGATTGTGCCATTGCACTCCAGTCTGGGCAACAAGAGCAGAACTCCATCTCAAAAAATAAACAAACAAAAAACAACAACAAACAGAAAACAGCAGCTGATACTTCAGAGCATGGGAATGTGTTCTGCCGTGGGATTTTAAACAGCCAGTGTAAAGAAAGTTACACACAGCTGCATGTCCACAGATATTTCCCACTGGGTTTAGAGGCTGGTGTCATTCTGAGTCCCACATTCATTTGCCTTTTCAGCCTAGTCACTTCAGGCTTTCTCTCTCACTAAACAAAACTCTGGAGTGTGGTGGAGAGATGTTAGGAGGGATGCAGAGACATGTGGTGACAGAGGGAAACTGAGGAAGAGTCAAAGAGACAGAAAGAAAAATTGATGGAAGAAAGAGAGAGTTTGGAAAGGTGTCTGAAGACTTTGACATCAGAACTCTCAAAAAAATGGATAAACTTTATACCATAAGGAATTCTGAGAGAGAAAAATAAAGGGCATAGAAAAGATTCCTGAGGAACAATTGGCTGGTTTATATTCCTGTGCATCCCTCACTCTGAGTCTTATACACAGACCAGATTAATGCATTACTGGTTCCCCAAATCACAGTAATAGCAGAGTCGCTTAATAGTTTTGTAACTCTGGGTAAGTTTACTTAGTCTTCCTGAGCTTTAGCTTACTTATCTGTAAAATAAGGATATTACCATTTACCAGGTATGTTAGCACACTGACTAGTACATAACATTTGTTCAATAAATGGTAACTGCTATCAGCTACCATTACCACCACCATCATCACTAAGATATCTGGAGTACCCCCCCGTCCACTATGACAGCCATCCTGACCTTAAAACCACAATTGCCTTCCAACACGAAGTAAAAAGTAGATTAGATGAGAGTTGTCCAGGGCCAGTCTCCTGTAGCACAGGTCTCAAGTATTTGTTAATTTGTATCCTAAGATATTTTTTCTCACTACATTCATTGGCTATTGTGGTTCATATTTGTGAATGTGTTTGTGGGTGTGTGTGTATGTGTGTGTTGGTTTTGTGGGCTTTTTAATCAAGAGCCTCTATGAATTGAAGGTCATCATTTACTGAGGTGATGATATTATTTACTGAAGTGATAATATTATTTTACCCTGCACAGCAGTTGTCTGTTTTGCAAATTCATTTATTCAGAATATAAGTCCTGCTCACAATAGAAGTAAGCTTTCAATTCTTGATATTCCATTGTTTAACCTAGCCATTTACAAAGAGAGAGAAAAGAGAAAACTGGAAATTAAACCACAGTAAGCAAGTGAAGCAAACAAACACTTGCAAATCATGGAATGCTAGAGTCTGAAGAAACCATCGTGATTGTCTAAAAACATCTAGTTATAGCAGAGAAAGGTTGAGGTCGACAGACAAATGAAGAGTAAGGTTTTAAAAATCAAATACAGGGCTTCAAATTTGGGGTTTCTGATGTTTAATACTATGCTTTTCTTTCCTGCTTAAAGATATGAAACAGGCCGGGTGCGGTGGCTCAAGCCTGTAATCCCAGCACTTTGGGAGGCTGAGGCGGGCGGATCTCAAGGTCAGGAGATTGAGACCATCTTGGCTAACACGGTGAAACCTCGTCTCTACTAAAAATACAAAAAATTAGACGGGCGTGGTGGTGGGCGCCTGTAGTCCCAGCTACTCAGGAGGCTAAGGCAGGAGAATGGCGTGAACCCGGGAGGCGGAGCTTGCAGTGAGCCAAGATAGCGCCACTGTACTCCAGCCTGGGTGACAGAGCAAGACTCCATCTCAAAAAAAAAAAAAAAAAGAAAGAAAGAAAAAAAAGATATGAAACAGAGCACTAACAAGGGCTCGGCAAAGGGAGTATTCATTGAGAGCACTTAGGCTTACTCCACATTGCAGAACAAATAAGCAGAAGAGAGCACTATGAGAAAACAGAAGGGAAAATAGGAGTGGAGATAGGGTGCATTCATACTCTGCATTGTCAGCAACTGGCTTTGGTTTGTTTGGTTTGAGGATTGGGGGAGGAGCAGCAGCTTGTATACTTATGGTTAACTCTTTGATCTCTGCCAAAACTTATTAAGTTCTGGAGTTAAA